>NC_000014.9:53248076-53551106 GCF_000001405.40 Homo sapiens | reverse complement strand
TGGGGAAAGACTGTACGAGAAGTTAGAATTAACTAAATCTCCACTGAGGACCACCCAAGAGGAGCTAAATGAAGGGTTACTTTCAAGTGGGGTTGGGATCAAAGATTGAGGGAGATTAGAACCAATGGGAGGTTAAAGGAAAACATCTGGTCTTTTGCAGTAATCACCAATAGAAAGGTGGATCTTCCTTGGGGAAAGAGCAGCCCATCTGACCGCGGACCCTCCAACGTGCCACAGAGTGCTGACTCCACAGAGAAGACACCTCTGACATTCGGCAGAAAATGCAAAAACATTCTGAAAAATTAATCAGGAAGTTGCTTCATCAGGCAGAGTGCAGATGTACAATTCAGCATTGAGATTCAAAGACCTTTTTTCTCCTGTTTGGGCAACATGGTCATGCTACCCATTGAGTGTAACCCCTTGATAGACTTGACTTGATGAAATCCATTGCTGTGGATGGTGGAGGAGGAGCACACTGCTCTCTTCGGACAGAAGCTTACAGCTGAAGCTTTCAGAAAAGGAGGCAATGCGTGTTAATACCATTTTTATTTAGCCTTAAAGCTTTGGCTTATATCATAAATTCCTATGTCTGCTTAGGCAAAAGATATTAAAGTCCTGGGAAGAAAGTGGAAATATTTAGGAGAAATAAGACGGAGGGGGAAGTTCCAATATTTTCCTAATAAAATATTCTTTGTTTTAGAATGTTCTTGCTTTTTGTAGTTTGAATCTTTTAAGAGGAGCTTTCAATGATTTCTATACAAAGTCTAAGTCTATACTATTTCCTATTCTTCAGATTATCCTGGACGATTAATCACCTGGAAGAATGACAAAACAGCCCCAGAATGGCATCTTCACACGTGCCAGTTTTATCTGTTATCTCGTCACATCACATTTCCTTAGGAATCCAAGGAGGAATTTTTTTAAAGGATTAGAGCAAGTGTGTTTGCTTGACTCCTCTATCTAACAGGAAGGCAACTGGGACGGAGCTCCTGTGCACTTTGCCCTGGGTCATGGTGGGCGGCTGGCTGTTTCCTCAGTCAGCCCACAAGTGAAAAGAGGTTACTGCTTTCTGAGCACCATTTTTCCACACAACGCTTTTTTCGGCAATGAGCTTCTAAGAGGAGAGTCACAGATGAACGGGCCTGGAATGGAGCTTTGATTAGACCATCTCACTTTTGTAATGAGGACACTGAGGACCAAAAGAGACACAAATCGCAAAACTAGAGCCACTTCCTCCTGGTTTTCATCTAGAGGCCTGAATTACAGCCCAGGACTTACCTCATTTCACCCGTATCTCATCATCACTTTTTCTTTTTTTTTCTTTCTTTTTTTTTTTTTTTTTTTTTTTTTGAGACACAGTCTCGCTCTCTCGCCCAGGCTGGAGTGCAGTGGCGCTATCTCGGCTCACTGCAAGCTCCGCCTCCCAGGTTCACGCCATTCTCCTGCCTCAGCCTCCCGAGTAGCTGGGACTACAGGCGCCCGCCACCACGCCCGACTAATTTTTTGTATTTTTAGTAGAGACGGGGTTTCACTGTGTTAGCCAGGATGGTCTCGATCTCCTGACCTCGTGATCCGCCCACCTCAGCGTCCCAAAGTGCTGGGATTACAGGCGTGAGCCACCGCGCCCGGCCTCATCATCACTATTTCAGTGGGCCTCCATTTTTCTTCCCCTCTATCTCAAACGCCTGAAAGCTAGGGTAACAAGAACCAGGGAACCTTTGTCCCAGAGGATTCAGCATCAGACTAAGAGGTGGGCACGAAGAGGAAAAATAACTCAGAGCCTGGGGTCACTGGGTTCTACCTTTTCCCCCAGTCATAAGTGGGCTTTCCTACTAACCCAGCTAAACATTTCCCCCTTCTACTTTTCTCATTGTCTTCTTGGACCTCAGGTGTAGAATGCTGATAATTATATTACTCAGTTTGTGATTCAGTATTATCATCTGGCTCTGCCAAGCCTGCTCTCTTTTTTAAAATTGTGTTTGATTATTTTCTCTCTTCATCTTTCATCCTCACTCCCGCTACCCTCCCTCCCATAGGCTGCCCCTTTAATTGTTACTATATGTCCTTGAATATCCATGTATCCTTGAAGTATTTAGTGTGTTGTTTTGTGCAGTACCTGTTTCTAATTTACATAAGTAATATTGCACTAAGCTCTCCTTCTGTTACTTTTTCCCTCAATAGTCTTAGTAAGATCTAGCCATGCTTCTTTATATGAATCCAGTTTATTACTTTAAGCTACTGCCTCTGATTATGTAGCAGAATGCATCACAATATTTTTCTTATCTATTACTTCCAGTGATGGACATCTAGCCATCACCAGTCCCAGCTACCAGAAGTCACATTGCACTGAACATTTTCATATATAAATTCATTAGTCAATGGAAGAATTTCTCTTGGGTCTAATTCTGAGAGTTAGACTAGTGGGTCATGGGGAAGACCCAGGAATACTTATTTTACTACATATTCACATACTTATTTTTCAATACATATTCACATTTTGTTCTCTAGAATGTCTGAACTAGCCCCTCCTGCCCACCTTGCAGTCCAGGAGAATTCTCACATCCTCACTAGTACTTGGTATTATGTGACTTTTTAATTGTTGCCAAGCGGGGTTCCCTCCTCTTTAATTGACTTAGCAATTAAAATTATTATTCTTATGTTCTGTTTTTCTATTTTGTGAAGTTATATGCAATGACCAAATGCAGGAAAATCTCGTTTGCAGTTTGAATAGGTACTGAGGAATAATTCAGTGTTCTGATTAGTAGAAAGCTATCTGTATGGCATACCCAGGTTATCATTTTTGAAGAAGCAGAAAACAAACCAGCTTTCATTATAAAAACTCCTATGACTATAGTTTATGAGAATTCAGAAATCACTTCTGTGTTAAGTGTGACCTACAAACAAACAAGAAAACTGGCACTCATTGAATTTTCCCTGTGGATATACCAGTTAAGAAATCACTTTGCTTTATAACATGGGACTATTTTGGATAAGGTAGCCAATATATTTATTATTTCCATGCTCTTTCCTTGAAATTGCTCTCCCCACAAAGCCTCTGCTGAAGGAGTGATCCTAGGTTCATGTTAGGACCACATGATTCTGCCCTCTGGTCACAGCTTGCAGGATGAGGGAAGTTCATTGATCTAACATTGAACTCATCTATAACCTGAAATGGACCAGTAACAGACTTAGTGACTTTGAATTAAATAAAATGAATCACTTGGTCATGATAAGCACCTGAGCCATCAGGTCATGGAAAGCCTGGCCTAGAGGCAGCCCAGGGCAAGACAGAGCTGAAGTCATAAGAAAACAGAAACTAAGAAGCTGCAGAGGATCTTAGCCTGCAGAGAGGAGACAAGAGCAAATGTGCAGAGAGAAGCAGAGATTACAACCACTCCAACAACTGTGAGTACGTCAATCAGCCAAGCAGGAGCCCTACTGGGAAGAATCCTTACCAAAATCCTTCATCTGATTTCACTCCCATTTTACAGGAAATAAACCTGATGAGACATTCTATCCCAAAGACAAGCCTCATCTACCCCAGGCAAGGGGACGGATTTTCAGGCCTGTTTTCTCTAGCTCCCCAGAGCGTTCTTCAACAAAGCACCATCCACCATTGTGAAGGGAAAATAGAACACCTGAGCCGTCACCACTCCATACCTGTTAGAAGTAAACTTTGATAAATTATCCTCAAGGAGATGGGTAAGGAACTGGAGGGAGAAAAGACAGATGTGGCATTTATCAGGGAATCAACTCATGCATCCAATACACAAATATATCCCCAAACTGTTGGAATGTCAAAGCTAGAAGCTACCTAAATATAATAACTCAGATTATGATTTCACAACATTTTTAAACATCCACCGAGTGTTCTCCTTTGAGTATGCTGAAGATGCTCTAAAAATTATTTTTTAATAGAACAAATTGACTTGATAGAAGTCATCATGTGAGAGAGATGTGGGAGGAAACCATAAAACAAGAAGCTATGATTGTGAGAAATCACTTTCTCACCAGCCAGGAAGCAACTTCTGGGTTGCCAGAGAAAACCCACCCTGGCAATGCCCAGACCACAGATGAACCAGTAACTCTCCATTTGCCATCATGAGTTAGATGCTACCAGACCATTGGCTCTGTAAATAAATGAGCTAAGTACAGTGAACATCCATGTTTTTCTTTACCCCCAAACTCCTTTTCAGGTAGCAGAGTGTAGTGGTTAAGGGAATGGGCGGGCAGTGGGACTGTGAATGTTTCCATTCTAGCTCTATCTTCCCAGCTATGTGAATTTTAGCAAATTACTTAGCCTCTGTATACTTCAGTGTACTCATGTATAAAATAAACATAATAATAGTGCTTCCCTTAAAGGGTTTCTGAGGGTATTGCCTTTTGAATAGTGTCTGGGAAATAAGTGTTTAATTGTCAGCTATTATTGTAATTATTATTTTGGGAACAGCACTAAGATTCTCTTTCAGAGAATCACCATCTCTCCCAGTCTCAGTCCAATTGACTGAGGTGAATCTGACCTCCCGCCTTGGCTCCTCAGACATTGCCAAAGTAGATTCTGTGAGAGTCAAAGTTAGGAGTTTCTATTTGAACTACTGGGAAAGAGCCACTTTTATTTTCTCTGGGGTTTGCTGAGCTAATGACTGTAAGCCTGGAGACACTTGGCAAATTGAGAGAACCTGCCTGAGGATACTGTTAACTCAGAAAAAAAAAAATCAGTCAAACAATGGCAAGACACCAAATCATTATGACATTATTCAAGCCCCTGGATCTAGCTGTGCCCGAAGCCAGTACCCTTAGAATTTCTAGTTGTGTATGCCAAAACATTATCTTCTTTGCTTAACTAATATAAATTGAAGTCATACTACTTATAATTGAAGAAGTCCCAAGGATTACAGTAAATTATGGCCAAGAAATATTTAGGAACTACATAATTTATTTATTTAATTCATCGAAAATTTGTGAGTACCCACTTTGCTAGACACTGTAATGGATACTGTGACACAGCTTTGAACAAAATCATATCTGCATTCTAGTTGGGGAAGACAGACAATAAATAAATAAAAATTATTAAATGGAATGACGTGAAGTTATCATTTTTGGAGGTCAAATACAGTTGAATATTGGCAATTTCACACGATTCAGCCTAAGACCTATAGGCCATTCATACAACAGTTACTCTTTACCATAAGAGTTTAGATGCCCTGAAGGGGAAACACTTTTCTGGCTTCTAAGCAAAAATCACAAGGGGCTGCTGATTTAACATCTTCACCCCAGAGGTCATCACCGCTCTTGCCAATCATTTCTTCTGTCATTAATTCATCCTGATTAATATTGCAAGTTCTGTTCCATCATGGCAAAGGGATACAACCACCACCTTAGAAATCATCTTCTTATTAGGTCCCTCATACCTATAAAAGCTCATTGCTTACCAATATTGTTGCTGTATTTTCCTTCACATGTTTTTAGTAACAATCTGGCTCCCCACCTCCTTTTCCTAATCTTCACTCCTTACTTGATCCCAAGGGTTCCCCTTTATAAGTGATATCACCTGGTATTTTCCTTGTCTGCTGCTGGTCTGAGTTTCTGATTCCTGCTTGGTTGCTCATTTCATGCCTCCCTAACCTAGAACATCTGGCAGGCCCCCATCTGTAGTTTAGGGGAAGGTTACATCTTGGCTGGCTAGAGGGAATTCAGCAGGCCTGAATCTGGTAGAATGACTATTCATATTGAAAGCAACAGTAACATGGGGTGGAGCAGGGAGCCAAGGTGGTAGCTGGGGGAAGTGGACTCTGAGACACAGAGTAGCATGCAAGAGATTATTAAGGAGTACTATTGAGAGTAAACAACTGCAGAAGAGAAGAGGAGGGAAGGAAGCAAGATTGAGTAGAAGGAGAAGTTGAGCTGCAATGCAGTCCCAATGGAAGCCTTAGAACCCTACAGGGAGTTCTGAAGATGAGTTAATGCTTAAGATTTGTCCTGAATTGTGGTAAGAGAAATGAGGCCTTTATATTCCAGCATCAATCATCAGATGGGGGTCATTCTGGGAAGAGATACAATAGCTTAAGAGGACTCACAACTGAGGGTGCCTGCTTAAGACACTCTCAGCATCCAGGATGATAAGTCCTTTACTCCTGAAGGGAGACCTGAGCAGTACAGCACAGCATCCACCACAGTGGGCATGCAAGAGAAAGGAGTTCCAACAGCCACCAAGGTACAGAGTAACGCTAGAAGCAATTAGCAAAAGCCACAGCATGGTACAGCATGGGACCTGCTTCACTTCTTTGTTAATATATTATGAACGATATTCATGTTATTTAGAGTGTGTTTTATCATCTTAATTTTAATTGCAGTATTTTCCCACTTATTGTCAAGCCCTTTAGCCCCTAAGTGCCGTCCTTAAAAGTCAATCGAATGCTTGTTAAAAGCATGAGTAAACAAATGAAGAGTCAGTGATTAAAGGGAGCAAAACAAGACAACAGTTCATGTTCTCTACAGGACTCCTTATGTTTAAGGAATAAATCTGATCATTTTATTCCCAACATTTACATTAAGAGAAACCTAAAGACTCCACCAAAAAGCTGTTAGAACTGATAATGTTAGTAAAGTTGCAGCATTCAAAACCAATGTACTAAAATCAGTACCATTTCTATATGCTGAGTGAACAATCTAAAAAGAAACCAATAAAATAAAATAATTTCAAATTTTAATCTCTCAACAAATGTTGGCTGAGAAATCTGTACTCAATTTTGTAGAGATACAAACACAAATGAGAAATGGTCCTCAGTGTCAAGAAACTTGCCTTGTGGTTATAAGTCAGACAAACAAGTAATTCCTATGCAAAGCAGATTGTGTCACTACCATTGGAATCATCCAAAGTGCCCCAGGAGTTGGGAGGCTTGAGTCTTTCTTAGACCTGGGATGGGGCAGAAGGCTTTGGGGAGGTGGTACATTTTATCTAGTCTCCAAAGGTTGAGTTGGCTCGGATAAAGTTAATGAGCATGCTCAAAGCTGAGGGAATGACGCTGAACAAAGGAAGAGCAAGCTGTGTGAATTGTCTGGATGATGGAGTAAATTTGCGGAATGGCAGGAGGTAACACCAAAATACAGGTTTTGGGTCAGCTTCTGGAAATGTCCTAGCAAGTCTCAGCAGCCCAGACACCTGAGCCCTAAAAGAAAAACACTTTAGTATTCTTTACTGCAATTCTTAACTTTATCTGATTCTCTCCAGAAGTGGGCCTATGCTAGGACAGTAATTCATTTGTGGATCTCAGTGTTTTTTATTTGATTCTGACATTTTCAAAAGATAGGAGATTATTCATGAGCACATGTGAAAATCATCTCAGCAATTGTATTGGTTGATAAGACCAAGGTGATTCTGAAATGTCCTAAACCTACCAAAAGGCTTAAAGATTACCTAAGCACTTGTGAGAGGTCCTTAATTTTGTTTCTTTTTGTGTTGACAGGGGAGAGATCATGTTCTGAATACCCACCTGAGAAAAGGAAAATATTCAGAAAAGTTTTTTGGACAGCTAATAATTAAACTTCTACTACTCTTTAAAAGTGTCAAACCAATTGACAGTAGGGAAAGTGATGAAATAAAGGTGAAAGGGAAACATATTTCACTTCTAAGGTTGATCAGGACTAAATTAACCATGCGTTACTTCTCTAAGATCGTTCTATTTTGAGATAATTTTAAAAGACAATGGGTCTAATTATAAACAGTGACAGAAATAATTTGAGATTTTGGATAAACTTAGGAAAATAATAATAAACAATATATTTACTCCCATATTTCCATAACTATCAGTTTTGTCCTTCAGAAGGAAGCCAACCATGGCCAAACCCTATCTCTGAGGATGAGAAATTGTACTTTTGTTTTTACCATAGCCTTAGTTTTCAGCTAGATCCATGCCTAAGTTATCTACCAGCATTTTTGTGATAGTATTGAGGCTCACACTGAGCAGGAAGATGGGCCTGTTGAATTAGAGCAGGATAGCCCCACATTTCTTTTGAAGAAATCCATGATTAATGTGTTCTTGCGTCTCCCTCAGCAGGTTACACATTGGAAAGGTCTTTCCAGAAGGCTCTCTTAAAAAAAAAATTCACAGCATCAGCCAGATTCATGAATGTCTTCTCGCTACAGGAAAACTATCCAGACTGGAGATTTGCCAAAGGGCATACTTTGGCTTCCTGCCAGTATTTTGTAGTGGGGAAACATTATGTTGAGGGACTTCCTTTGCTCTAGTGAAAGCTTACTAAAGGTCAGAAAATTATCCATTTTACCCACACACGGTGTCTGACATTCACAGATTTATTGTGGTTCAGGAATTCATGACATGTCCTTTGAGTTTACCCTGGATGACAAAGAGAGTAGAAATATGATAATGAAATCATTATACATAAACATTAGTCTTTTCCACACATTTTCCTTACACTGCCCCCTCCACCAAAAAGTGTAAGTAATGGCTTGATTTGCTACATTCTATAATGCTTTAAATAACTTTAAAAAATGTTTTCCCAACAGAAATATAATAGCATTTGGTACATAATAACTAAACCTGATGTACTGGCACATAAATATAATCCTTCTTTAAATTTTTAAATTAGATCATTACATTTACAGTTCCATTTTTAAACTATACTTTTTAAACAAAACATTTGATGTTAAAGGGGAAATATCACAAGGACAGATGGGTTGTTTCTATCCCTTTATACTCCACTCTATTTTCTTTTTTATATTAAATACTAACATTAAGGAAAATTAGTGTCTTTTTGTTGTTCTTTGTGAAATAAATACAAAAAATCATGTGCGCAAACTGCTAAACTTTAACAAAGCAATACATAGAGACTTATTCTTTTTACAAATTAAAATTTATTTCAAGTCTTTTTCATTCAATGCCAGGCCTAAGACCACCAACCAAGAAATAATCTCTAGATTTTAATAGCCCCCATTAATATCTATGAAAGCACAGTAAATGCATAATTTTCACATCAGGATATGGAACCACAAGAAGTGAATTATTTATATGGACTACATAAAAGTAATCTAGCAATACCAACATTTGCCAAACAAAAGTATCCTTTATAATTTTCATTCATTCAACAAAGATTCATTGAATTCCCACCAAATGCTTTGCACCAAGGCAGAAGTTTTCAGGGATTTGAGATGTATAACATGCAACTCCTATCCTAGAGAAACTAGGCTTTTTGTGTGTTGAGAGGGGAGTTTAGCAGACACAGAAGTATGTGTGCACAAGATAACTTACACCTACACAAGATACCCAGTCATATTATGTGATTACAGATGCAATAACAGTCATAGTAGACAAAGGGCATAGTGGCTCAGAAAGAATTGTGCTCACTATTATTTTTTAACTGTCTAATAAGTTGTCATGGAAATGGTGGGGCATTATTCCAAAGGATAAACCAATGGCCAAGGAGTCCACTCCTCACAGATGTATACATCTAATTGAAAGGAATTCTGTTGATACTCTGTTACCCTGGATAAATATTTTTATACCTTAACACCCCTCTTCCCTCTTTCTCTTCTCCCACTCCACACCCATCAGCTGCTTGTGCTTGTAGTGCCTGTTGCTATGATTCCTACATGTTCTGCCAGAAATCCTAAGCAAAAGTGAACCTTAATCTTTGAGCACCAGAGAAAACAATGTTACATTAATGACCTATCCTTATACACAAATGAGAATTGGGAAGGGGGCATATATATGAATGCATGGATTTCCTGAAGAACTTTCACGAAGAGTTATAAGCCATCTCTTGTATCATCTTCTGTGGAACCAAACCAGCCTCCTCCAGAATTATTAATCTCTGTGAATAGATGACTAAGCTAGATGGCAACTAAGTGTTCATACTTTGTAGTTAAGTTTTCTAAATGTTTTTGAACCTGCAAATTTATCCTCTTTTCTTTTTTCTTAACATTATAGTTTTAATCTTTAGAATCAGCACTAGAAGAAGGATCATTAAGAAACTTAATGTATGTACACTTAAAGGTAAGGAAATTAAAATCAGATATAAACTGCAGGATGTTCATAACAGAGGAATTGCTTTTGTTTCTAACCCTCCTGGGTCCAGTCTCCAGCCATGAGGTATCATGACATCATCATGTGATGGTAGTCCATGATGTGAGATGGAACAGAGAAGACATTAAGGTGTTACAGTGCATCCTGGCCAACATGGTGAAACCCCATCTCTACTAAAAATACAAAAATTAGCTAGGCATGGTGGTGCACGCCTGTAATCCCAGCTACTCAGGAGACTGAGGCAGGAGAATCACTTGAGCCGGGGAAGCGGAGGCTGAAGTGAACTGAGATGGTGCCACTGCACTCCAGCCTGGGTGACAGAGCAAGACTCCATCTCAAAAATAAAATAAAATAAAAATAAAAAATAAAATTGTTACAGTGGCACAAAGGTTCTCCAGAAGGTAGAAAACTTACTGTTTTTCTTTAAAGCCTTTTTCTGCTTTGTTTTCTTCAGAACTTGACTACAATTAAGATATTTCACACACGTTATGCCTTATTTGGAGAAGTCAAGTCATGCATCCTTTTTTTTTTTTTTTTAACAAACTGCCTGCTCTCTGCACCAACAATATGGATGCTGTTTTCACATATCAAGCCAAAAAAGAAATCAATTTATAGCCTGTTATTCAAATTAGGCCATCTGTGAATTCCTCGTTGTACAGAGAGTTTTTATGGCCAGCTATTCTTAAAAGTTGACAGGTGTTCAAGAAATATGTGTTAATTTTACAAATTGAAATTTTATTTATTAAGAAATTCCATGCACTCAGAAAGAGATGTGACTTGAACAGGCTAGCTTTGTTGAAAATGAGCAATCCAAATCTTTGAGAGATACAAGGACCAACTTTCCAGGCCAAGATGCCCCTTTAAGTAATGAAACAGTAGGATTTATTTTACTACTGAACGGTTAGGGATAGCCAAAATCTTATTCTGGGCCACAAGTCTATGACCTATTTAAAAGCTGAGAGACTTTGTACATTTCTGAGGTTAAACAAAGGGGCCTATGGTTCAAAAAAACGTACAGCAACGAAGCCCAGAGGCAAGGCCTGAGTAGTCGGGAACAGGCTGCAGGAATCCAGCTCTTCCCAACTTTGCTCATCTCTGTTGCTATTTTATTTAGTGAAGTTATCCTTAGTGACTAACTCAGAATCAACAGATCTTATGCAAGTGAATTCCTATCTGGGCTAACAAGAACCAGGGAGGTGGTACAAAAGAACACTGAAATCCTAGAGAAAAGGTCTATGGAAACATCAGCGATCTTTAATTCACTTTTCTCTTCCTCTAAGAACCTGCTTTTGTATTTCCCTTTCTCTCCTTTTCTTATTACTCCCCTTCATCAGTCATTCTTTTCTGTAGTCAGTTGGGTTACCACCCAAACCCACAGTGACACCTGCTGGCCAATTTGCAATGGTGAGCCTGAATCCTGCGAGGTCTTGCTTGGCCCACAGTAAGCAAGAGTCCATTGAGGCAAACACTAAATACTACACAATTCTTTTAGAAACTTAGACAGTGAGAAAAAAATTAAGTGAGCATTGCCAGGGAAGTTCAGGAATGGAGAATTTTGCAGAGAAAGCTGCCTGAACCATTACAAATGTAAAATGTATGTATTATAGGTGTTTTTACCTCATAAAAAATAGCCAAAAATATATCCGGTGCTGTGAGACAATTGTGAAGACTTAAGAAAATAGTTATGGTAATCACTCATGGAATGTCACTTTTTACATTGGTTTTCAGTAACTACACTTATAGTCCAAAAGGTTTTATATTAGCATTAATTTATATTAAGTCCCCCCCAAAAAACGCAGGAGAATATGTTGCACAAACATTTATTTCCTTTAAATATATTGATTAGAGCTCCAACACAAAGGGTTAAAAATTTAGGTTTAAGACTTTTTTTTCTGTTATTTCCCAAGGACTTCCAATTCTTGGTCAAGTTTCTTTACTGAAGAATATTCATATTTTGTTAATCCTAAGTATTTATACATTGGTTATTTTGGCTGGGTACATTTTTGAGGATGTTTGCTTTGTTTCAAGCAAATCCGTTCCTGACTGGAAAGTACAAATTCTAGCAAAAACAAAGACAACAGAAATATTTTTTAACATTAATACATTTTCTTAAAATATTTACACTTTTCATTTGAAGGTTAAATCCTAGGAATAATTCTCCATACACATGTTCATATTTGAAACAGGAGGTTGTCCCCAAGGACTTGTAGCAACAAATGTGTATTGGACAAAAATGTTGGCCTTCTTCATCCTTACTCTGTGTTCTAAAAGCCAAAACTTCATTTTAGCATGACCTTAGAAGAATAGTGATACTTTTAGAATTTCCTGGTATTTGGTGGAAGGAATGTTTTTATTTGACTGCAGATGTCACTTGGTTTACAGGAAGGATTTGGTAATGCATTCATGCCAGTACTGCACTTACCCCAGATTTCTTGCTATGTAGGAAGAACACATGTCAAAGCTCACTGTTTGTTAAATGGAAAAGATTCAGTACACCAGAAGCTTCTATTATAAACATTGTGACTTTGTGCAATTTACAAAATGTTCTATCTCCATTAAACAATAAACCCTTGACCCCAGAGCTCAGTTTTGGGATTCTGCGATTTGAGAAGGTAGACATAATGGATGGCAATAATAAATGAAAAGTTCAAGAGGTTAAGAAAAACTGTTTAATTATTTCTGTACAGCGTGGGCTGCAGAAAGCTTGCATGTCTGCCTTCTTCCTCATAGAAACACTGCATGGAAGAGATCCACCAGGGCAGCCCAGGCAGGGCATAAAAGCAGGTTGCGGTCCCTCAGCTGTGTTTATGAACAAATGATTTCTAGATACCCTTCCATCTCTGAATCTTTGCAGTTCCTGCCAGGGGAGATCCAGTGCCAGTCCCAGCGCTCAGCATCTGTTTTCCAAAGAGCTTGGATTTGTTAGCATGAGAAATTCATTGCTCACAGTTGCTCCCCAGCTGTGGCACTAGTGAGTGTAGCCTCTTTGCCTTATTTATTTGGAGAAAACATGTCCTCTCTTGGAGGTTCTCTTATATAACTAGTCCTGGACACAGGCCGCTGTGCTTTTAATCCCAGGCCCATTAAGCTGCCTTGTTAGTGAAAGAACTCCTCCACATTTGAATTTCACAAGGTTGGGATGTCCACATGAGGGCAGAACTTGGCGATTCCCAAGGCACCAAGCTCTAAACCAGATGTCTAAGAAATAAGGGAAGTCTATTAACTTGGGCCTTAATTGGAGAGATAATCTAGGGACAGGTCTCAGTGGAGCTTTGGAGGCCAGGTGAAAAGCCTTCCCAGAAGGAAATGACCAGAGCAGAGCTGCTAGGAATTCCTCGCAGGGTCCACACTGCATTCAGAGCAGGAGCTATCAAAGAATGCTTTGTAGGTCTAAACCCTGGATCTTAAGGATAGCAGACAAGCATTCTTGTTGTTGCCAGATGAATGTGAATTCTTTAGAGCTTCCTATCTCTCCACCCATCCCAAAAAATGTACAATAAATTGCTATCTGTCTTATTCCATCTAGACTTGCAGAAACCAGATAGGGGCAGCTGCTTAGATGACCCTTGGCTTCTGAACTCTAGAAGAAAAGCATTGTGAAAGCTGGGACATGGGAAAGGAAAAGAACTTGGCTTTGCTTTAATTTAGACACTGAGGATTTTTTCTTTAAAATCTGGGGAAAAAACCGTAGAAATCAAAACTTTAATGAAAGAATTATAGAATTTATTCAGTGTCTTAATATGGAAAACACTGTGACCAGCATTCCCCACAAAAGAGGGGAAACTGCCTTTTTTCCCAATGTTTGGATTACATGACAGGAGGTGGGCAGAACAATGAATAAGAACCAGAGCTTTGAGTGAGAAAGTTCTGGATTCCACTATTACCTAGGTGGGTAATGTTGGGGAAGTTATTTAAATTCTGTAAACTCCAGTTTTCTAATCTGTAAAATAGGGATAATAATAGTTCTGACCTCAGATTGTTGTAAGGATTAAATGACACAGTGCACCTAAGAAGACACAGAACCTAGGATCTGGCACTCTTCAGTCATTGCTGGCAGTGTCTTTTACAATTAAGCCATCAACTGTGACTAGAAAGTCCTCGAATTTAAAGCCAATCTTGACAAGACTCTGTGTGACCTAGAACAATTTTTTTCCCATTCCTTTGGTTCATTGGGATGAATAATAGAGTGGATGAAATGTTCCTTGTTTCCAATCTGTATGAGATTAAAGTAATCATTTCGATGGGAAAAGGCTATGCCCCAGAAACAGGTGCCTTTATTCTATTCTTATTCTGCACTGTACAGACAACCTCCTGACCAAAGAAAAATTGCAAACTCCATGGCCTCAGCACTAACTGAGACATATGGGAGAAGGGGCACGTGAGTAGACACACTGGGTACAGGCCATCTGGTCCCCAAGCAGAGAAAGCCTGGTTGAACCAAACTCAGAAGTAGGCTTGAGCAGAGTTTCTCAACTGCCATGCTCCTCCCATTCTGCACACTGGTATGCCTCAGATGGAGTGAGCCACAGCAGGAAGAAGAGGGGGCTGCCCAGGTGCAAAGCCAATGAGGCATGGACTTCAGGCACAAAACTTAAGAGGGCACCAAAAAACTCAGTAATCAAATAATATTTCAATACCGTACTTCAAAGGAAAATTTAATGTATAAAACCCCAGGTTGAGCAAAATATAATTTTAAATAAAGACAAGATTGTAGGGTTCAGAAGCACTTCAGAAGACACGGGCTGGAACTAACTTGGGGCTGTTGTTGCAACAGAAAAGATCTAAGTCTGACTGAGCTAAATGGGGTGCTAGAAGTCCTCAATGGAAAAGCCCATATATGTCCAAGGTCTGTTTCTGAAGGCCTTGCCCCCAGAAAGCCTTGTTCCCATCATTGCTTTATAGTAGACACATGGAAAGCTCCCCACTCTGTCTGGGAGATAATCTGAGAAGTATGCTCTGTACTTCTCTGGGTTCATTCAAAGAGAATTTTTACTTCCAGGTTCAAAGAAAAAAAATTGCTTATCAAAGAGCTCAAGAGATTTCTTGAACCCAGATCTAGTGTTTACCATGCAATATTTTGATGAATGAGAGTTAAATGATTCCAAAATACACGGATTAAATTTCCCTAGAATATACACGGTTTTGGAAAATGAAAGGAAAATGGTACTTTGAGCAAAATACATTTTTGGCTCTGCTGAACCCCAAATATTAAAAAAAAGAATATAAAGTTTGCCAAACCCCAAGTGCTTCTGGGCTCACATATTCTGGCTCTCTCCTTGAGAACACCTTTCTACCATCATTTTCCCCAGGCAGCTCTACTCACAACAGGAAGTCTGTAACTCAATTTCCCTTTCGTAAATAAAGGCATCTTTAAATGGTATAGACCTGACATCCACATCGGAAGGCAAGAAAAATATGGCAAATACAGTTCTTTGGGGTCTTGTCATCCACACAGGATCATCATACAATTAGGCAGTAGGATGGCAGGTGCTAACCTTGGGGGGACTCTGATTAAACAAACAGCACCGATTTTCATGTAATGTTACACTCCAGCACAAGGCCTTGGGAAAAGAGCAATGGCATCACCAGGATCCTGAGTTCTTACCGAAATCTAAGTATACAGATGAACTGTGAGCGCTGGTCTATCCAAATTTAAATATACGCACAAAATGCTCTTTTGCATAGGGGTATAGTCCATCTCTGGAGTTGCAATGCTGTGGCCGGGGGACCAAAGCAAATGAACTAAGTTTTGATGAAAACCATAAAGTTACATTTGGGAAAAATGTCTCGTTACACATATGTGACCATGTTTTCCTAATTCTCCTAGAGCAGGATTTGGAACAGGTATACAACAGACAGAAATTTTGTTTCCGAGTCAGAGAACGCAAGGCAGCCAACAAGAGCTAAAGACTCGCAGTGTTCTCAGGTTTACAAATGGGTTAGCAGGGCACAGTTGAGGTGTTTCCGTTTGTGGGTTTGTTTGCTTCACTCATTGGCGTGAGAAGCCAGGCACATTTCTTCAACTTTGGAAGCCACGAAGGAGTCCTATTCATTGGGGCTTGTGAATCAACAAAGAGGAATGGCATTTAATATTTATATATGTCTCATGTAGCCATTAAAAATCTTTTATGAGTGTGAAGCCATTATTAAAGCAAGATGGGTTCTGGGTCATGGACCCTTTCATGGCATTCCCATAGTGCTAATGAGACAAATAATATCTCCTCACAGTACAATGGCTGCCTCTAGCACTGAATTCAGTGTGCCTAGTGCAGTTAAAAATTCTAAAGGAAAAAAATTTACCATTAGAATTACCCTACCCTAAGAACTTTTTCCTTTTCATTGCCTGAACAAACAATGCAGTTTCTAGCTCAATTAAAACTAGGTTGGTGCGTGTGTGTGTGTGTGTGTTAGAGGGGCTGAGTAGAGACTATAGACTAAAGATGGCCAAATACATGGATATTAATAACACACATGAATGTCTGTTATCCACTGGACCACATGAAGTGTATCCCCAGGAGATATTTACCTTCATATATTTACAGATGACATTATGTTGCACCCTGATCTAAGTCATCCACTACTTCTAGAACAGCTGAAGAGAAGACAGAAGAAGGAAAGAAAAATGATGACAAAAGCATGGAAAGCTAACAAAAGAGGATAAACATACTGCATAGGAGAAATATGTGAATGAACACTGATGCTTTAAATTTTATATAGCAACTTGTTTGGGAAGATCTGCCTTACTTATGAGTGATATCTTACACTTGCCAAAATAAAAGTTTTATGATAGCCCCTTGCCAAACCATATTCTACCAAGAGAAGCAACCACACAAATGAAGAGTAAGATATACATGTAAATGCTCTCAAACACACTTCTTCCCCTTTACCATAAAGAAGATAGAGTTCTACATTCAGCTGCCATCAGAACATGGCATTCCCTACCAAGAGTAATTTAATGGCAACCAGCACGCTATGCGAATGAAACACAAATGTCTAGTGGTTTCCAGATCATATATTCAGCACAAAACTTCATTATAGCTTATTTTTATATCACACATAACAACTTTTTAGTTCCGTATTCATTAAAATGAATTAATAATAAAGGACTATATAATAAGGACTTCTGAGTTCTGATATTAGTGGCATCTGATTTTTTTATGGACATTGGTAACAAGGAAGAAAACAATTTCCAGTGGTTTTTCAACTACAGACATTCAGTTTTTCAACTACAGACATGTAGTCAAGGCATTCACAAGACATTTTTATGATTGGGAAATGGTAGTGGGAGGGTAACAATTACATTGGATATCCTCCAGTTAACTTATCTTGGTTTCTGTAATACTATTATCCATAGTGTCACAATATTCAACATAAGTTCATCAGGCTTCACTGATGTTGTCAAGGCTCATTTGGCCATAAGGGGCAGAGGCAGTTCATTCAAGGTGCCCCAAGATAAGAGACATGGGTAAACCGAAATTGGAAGCGAAAGCAGTCAGGAACTGAGGTGGCTTTTGTGTGAGTCTGTGTATAAACTTGTATGCGTGTGTGTGTGTCTGTCTGTCTTTCTTCCTTTTTCTCACGAACTGCATGGAGCACTACTCACACCTTCTCAGTGCATCACTGCTTTGTTCTCCCTATTCTCTTGATCTTCATCCTCATAATTTCAGCCTGTCATTGCTGTCCTAGTTCCAAGTCTACTTTGTGGCCTTTCAAATCAGTTTCCAAAGCTAACCTGCCCAGTCTCTGAATTTCCCCAATTCTAAATTTCAACAGGAGAGCTAAGAGACAGAGAGAGAGAGTGTGTGTGTCTCATCTTTCCCACCCAGACGCCACTGCTGGTGGCCATCAGCAAGCCTAGGCTATCCTCGAATCACACGTGTCCCATCAATCCACCCAGGTCTCACCAGGCCATGGAGTGACTGATTTTGTAGGGGCCGTGAGGGGAGAGAACCAAGCCAGCTCACAACACGGCATGAAAATGGCTAAACATGATACCAGTAAGCCCCTCCCATCAGTGAGGACACAGGAGCAGACACAGAACATGTGGCAGCAGCTGTGCTTCCAACAATGGGAGACTCCATTTTCACTTCAATCTGGAAACAATTCAGAGGGAAAAGTCTTCTCTTCTCTATATATTTTTTATTACAAGAAAAAAATCTCACACTATGAGAGTGCACAGAAAAAAAAGAGAGAAGTCGCTCCCTGCTAATAAGTAGCTACAGGAAGCATTTTTCAGACTGAATAGATAAAGCAAGGTATTGTTGGAAATAAAATTGGTTAAAACTAAACAGCAACAATGACAACAAAACCACACCTCAAATAAACTTGGAGCAAATGCTCTCAGGGCCCTGATATGTGGAAATGACAATGCCAGAATAGTTCATGAAAGAATAAGTTCACTCAGAAGAGAAGCAATAGCCGCTAAAGGACCTAAAAGAAGAAATTTAATTTCAAGAAGATGCTGCTGTTAGTATCTGTCACCATTTTCAGTATCAGTTTTAATGTATTTTATTAGCTACTCTGGGGTTTTCAACAACCCTTAGTGAGAAGGGATTTAGAAAAGAAAGTTTAAACCCAGCTGTGTTCTTGCTGATCATTTGTTACCCATGATTATGCATACATTAACTAGATGTATAATAAACTATGCACAATTTTCAACCCATAGCAGAACTTACATGCACATCTCTCTTGTTCATTTAATCTGAAAATAGATACTTTTGTGACTGCTTATCTGAAGAGCTTTGAGCAAATAGGGAAACTGCACAGCAAGTCCGTTCATAGTTTTCTTTCAAAATGTTGTTTTAAGCAATTCCTAGTCCCTATTATCTTCTCACCCATCTCCCCACACATCTCAAACAAAGGAACAAAAATGACCAGAAATCTTGTTGTTCCCAATTCTGCTCCCAAACCACCATAGAACAAGAAGAAAGTGGGTTACCCAACTGACTCTAACAGAATATATGTCAATCCATTGTGGCTGTTTTTTTCATGACTTTAAAGATTGTGTTCAGTATAAATTCATTCAATAACGTCTGAAATCTTCCTTGATAGCATTGGAACTACAATTCTAAAGCTTTACAATGGTGGTGAGATAGCATGCCTGGATTATTTCCCCAGGGCCTAGTACAGTGTTTGACACAAGGTTATGATGCAATCAATATTTTTTGAATGACTCAATTAATTATTGATAGTAGGCAGGAATGGAGAAAAGGACAAAGGGAGGTAAGGGTCACTAATCACATTTATGCAGGATTTTCTTCCAATCCTGTTAAGTATTATACTAGCAGAAGCCAATCTGGGATGCTTTACTAAACACAGCTATTATATCATGCTAAATGACAGACAGATAACTTATAAGTTATTTCAATCTAAAAGCAAGACACAAAAATGGCAGTACTTCTTGTCCTCATTGTAGGCAGTGAGTAGTTCTGAGGCTCTAGAATCATTCTCAAACATGTCAGCCTTTACCAGTTGAAGTTTTGGAAATTACTCAGGTAACACTAAAAAGTGACTTGATACAGAATCAGAGATTTTAGAACTGAAAAATGATGGTGTTAATTAGGATTGATGACCCTGACCATCTGATTACTGTTTGTAATTTCATCATTTGAGTTGTAATTCACTGCCTATTAGCTCATATCAATGTCTGGTTATAAAAGTGTTCATAATGTTTACAATGAGAGGCCTTGGTGATTACAGTCCCATAAATGTGTGAATAATTGAGAGGTTATGCTGCAGCACACGCCTCATCAAGCTTCCTTTTCAAGTCTCAAGTACATATTTAAAGCTCAACACTAGAATTCAATTATACTTGAATTGCCAGCAAGAAAAAAAAGAGCTAAATTAACAAAGCTGTCAAAAACACTCTCTGCTTTAAACTTACTGGGACAACTGGACAATGGAAATAGTTCACCCATTTAAGGGTTGATTTCATCTGGTAAAGATTTATTGAGTTTCTTTCTTGGTCCCCAAGAAGATAGATGGAAAGTCAATCCTGATAAAATAGTTTGCAAAATTGACTGGATTGCTAGATGTATATAGCAGATTTGGTAAAATCAGTATAGAGAGAAGTGAACAGTTTATGTATGACCCAACAAGATCATGTTACAGTGGTCTCAATAAATTAGAATGGACCCAGCAATAAAATAATTTGGTACAGTGCGCACTATTCAAAGAGTACAATTAAGTACCTACCATCTCTGCTTTGACTCCACAAGGTAAGGGTCTGTAGTTTGGAAATGAAACTAACCCAACGCGTGTGAAAGAGTTCTATTCTTCTCCACTAATAAAAATACATTTCACGTAATACTCTTTTAAAGGATAATTCAAGTTTCTGGGATAACTCCAAACTGTTCTTAAATGAAAATGTCTTATAAAAAAAGTGTGATGAGATTTCAAAAATAATTACCACCAAAATTCAGACTTGATTAAAACTCTAAGTTGTATTTATTTTTAATATGACATATTTTGTAAGCTGTACAATGGGCCAAGCGAAGATAATCTTGGACTACTCCTTTTATGCTAGGTTTTTTTTAACTTAACCCTTTTTTTCTTTTGAGACAGAGTCTCACTCTGTCGCCCAGGCTGGAGTACAGTGGTATGGTCTTGGCTCACTCCAACCTCCACCTACTGGATTCAAGGGATCCTCCTGCCTCAGCCCCCGGAGTAGCCAGGACTACAGGAGCATGCCACCACACACAGCTAATTTTTGTATTTTTGTAGAGATGGGGTTTCTCCATGTTGGCAAGGCTGGTCTCAAACTCCTGGGGTCAAGTGACCTGCCTGCCTCAGCCTCCCAAAGTGCTGGGATTACAGGTGTGAGCCACTGCACCTGGCCAATTTAAATCATATTTGAAACACCATCCACAGACACACTTGATAAATACCTTATTCTGAATCCCATAGTTATGTAAAATAATCCTTACCACTCAAAATAGAATAGACTTCTTTTGCCCTGGAATCACCCACTTATGTGGTTCCCATTTTAAAACATCTAGAGGCCAGAAAGGGGGTTGGGGGGCTGAAAAGAAAAAAACAAAAGAATATAAATGTATTTTTACTACTGAATTGTACACTTAAAAATGGTAAAGATGGTAAATTTTATATGTACATTTTACCTCTATAATAAAGAAATAAAAATTTTTTAAAAATTTAACACATTCCTTGATTTACCTGAAGTTGTTCTCAGCACCTTACCTTAGATGTTAGAATCTTAGTGCTGTAAAGAAGCATAATGTCAAACTCATCCCATTCTCTCATTACAAAGAGAAGGGAACAAAGGCTTGGAGAGTTTAGTGACTCATCCAAGGCACATAGAGCCATGCAGTGGCAAAGCATGTACGGCCGTCCAGCTCTCTGATCTTTGCTCTGATTTTTTTCTGTGACATCATTTATTAACACCAGATGCCCTTCAGAAGCCACCACCATTTTTTTTCCCTCCCGTGTATAGTCTACTGAAGAAAAATAGTAATTCAATTTAAAAAGCATTTCTGTGTACCTACATGCATGGCACTCTACAAGGTAAGGTGGGCAGGCCCAAAGCCAACTAAGACTAGGCTCCTCTCTGCAGGGGAAGACAGACATGCTCCCGGATGACCATCATCCATAGTCGCTAACCTCCCGTAAGAGCTGACACAGACATGACCCATGCTAGGAAGGCACAGGAGTTAATGGAGTCATTACAGATTAGAAGACCTAAGAATGCTTTGAGAAGTAGGTGACAGGGTGGATGAGGAAGATTTTGGCAGGTGGCATGGTATTCATTCTGGGAAATTAGTTTATTCTGCCAGACTTGTTCAATTTTAATTCATTAAAAAATGGAATCTAAAAATATAGTAGACCATATCCAGTTGATGGATGGTGGCTTGGAATGTTACTACTGACTTAACAGGTAAGCTGGCAGACCACTAAATGTACATTTATCTACATAGCTTTGTCCAAGTTATTTGTATAAATAAATCTGTCCCCAATACAATACTTTAATTTTATAATGGGGCATTAAGGGCAGACATTTTATCCATTTTATGGATTTTTAACATGAGAATCAAAGAGATTGAAGACTTATCCACAGAAACATGGCTGGCAAGTGGCAGAACTAAAGTTAAAGCCCGTTTCTCCTCTGCCTTTTCCCTGCATTTACATACCACCATGTTGTCTTTACAATTTTACTGCTTTTAAATCCTTTTTTATGTGCATTGAATAAGGTCACGAACTTTCAGAATACCACTACAAAACCAATTTTGATAAATCAGATATAGCTGTTACACACAGTGGACTCACCCACAACCCACCATCACAACTGTGATCAGCAACCTAATGTGATCGGGCAGTATCCTCTAGACATGGCCCATCAGACATGACATACATACTCGCCTTCTTTCCTAAGAAAACTGGAAACACCTGGATCATGTTAGGTCACTTCTTGGTTTCTACAGCTGGATTTTATGCTTCTCCCCTCTTAAGGAGTTGACAATCTGGAAAAAATCTTGATATTCAGCCAAGAAAACAAGAGCCTTTTGAACACAGACATTTCTATATGTTCTGGCAAAGGAGTGGGGAGAGTGAGATGGAAATTATTCCTTATGGTGTATAAATAAAAATGTGGGCAGTAAGAAAGATCGGTCATGACCTTCCAGTAAGGATATGTGAAGCAAGAAAAACCAGCCCATTTTCCTTCTAAACAATCCTCTTCAGCATAACAAGTGGCTGCATTACGCAAGGGCCTTGGTCAGTAGTGCCCAGTGAACAGTAACTTCCAGCCTCCTGTGTTTCAACTGAACCATCTGCTGTGTGGGTCCACACAGCTGGGCTCTGCTCAGTGGTTCCTCCACCCTCTCTCAAAGAGACACTTGAGAATCTCCTCTCTCCAGGCAGAGGGCAGGGGATCAGGGGTGGGGTGGCCCTGCTTACTCTTGTAGCATACTGTTTCTCTGGTTGAAAAAGCTTCTGATGTAAAATTAGTCATCAATTTAGCTATTTTTTTCCACGAGCCTCAACTCTGGCTTTCTCAATATAACGTGTAGATGTAAAATATCCAAACCATGGGGAGAACTGCATTTTCCAGGACATAAATATTAAAGCCAGCAACATTCAGAGCAAATTTGGCATTAACCAAATATCACATCCCTACCCAGGCTATAAGCTGAAAAGTCACCATATTGAAAACAAGAAGAGGGAGTTTCCTACCCAAGGGAACACAAACTACTCCAAAACTGAGTGTGAAATAAGGACGCGTTGGCCTTTTGCTTATGGCAAGAACAGGCTAAGGTGTATGTGTGTGTGGAGTGGGAAATGCTGCTTTGCATTTACTAATTGTGAAACACATGCATCAGCCAGCAGAGACAAAGCCCAGGTGTGAGGGCAAATTCTACCTGCTGCTGACTGATTTCATTGATCAAATTGGTTATCTACATATGTTTATTTCCCATCGATGTGTATTTCAGTGCTTGCGAGCAGCTAGAGATACAAAGATGGGTGTGTCCCTTGTTAAAAGTCTCTTTCCACATGTGCAGTCCTGGTCATACATCTGATCTACCCCAATGCTGTGCTTTTCATCTATTTCACTACGCCTGGCTGATGGCCATTAAAGGCAGGTCCCAAGCTCCAGCTTCATTCTTGCAGTTGTCCAAAACATTCTCCTATTGCTCCTGATCTCACGTCCTTCTGGTTTCACCCAGCTCCTAACTCTTGACTTTGCCTCTCATCAGCCAACCTGAAGGTGGCCCCTTCAGTTTAATGGCAGTATTTTCATATGCTGGTTTTAAGCCTCCATGTTCCCTAAAGACAGTGGATCAGAATAATCCTTTGACTTTTTCCATGCTGGGACACTCATATGGTAACTTCCTCCCCTCCCTACCCAGCTCTGGTCCCCAAGACCCAAACTTCAACCCTGACCTATCGAGTCCCAGTCCCCATGGAATTGAGGTGGGGAAGAGTGAGGCATTTCATTTCTCTGTTGCAGGGCAGCTTGTTGCCTTATTAAGGAGACTCAAGCCATAGGATTAAGCAGAAAGACTACCCTCTTTGTGAGACAATCAGAGGAAATAAGGGGATGTTAATGAACAATAGCAAAAAGAAAGAAGAAAAATAGTAGCAACCAGCAGTATTCCTACCTCCTCACTGTCTACAGCCAAAAGTTGTGGTATCTCCTATGTAGAGAAGTTGACTGCCTTTTATAAGTGATATTTTAACCATTCTTTGCCCTCAATGAGATCTCAGTAGCCACAGTATTTAAAAAGAGCATTCCAAATACAGTCATTGCCAGGACCAAAAACAGATAAAGCTGTTAGAACCTAAATAACATGCTCATAGATTTTATTTGGAAGGTGAGGAATACGCCAGAATAATGCCCATTCAGCCAGAGAAGCCTTCATACAAGAGGATGGATTTTTAAGATCCTTGAAAACTAGCAGTAAGACAACTTAGAAAGCCCGGCAAAGGAGGCAATTCCAAGGGTAAGAGACCCCAAGCACATGGGCTTAGAGCTGCGCCTGCTACACAGCTGGAAAGAGAGGATGTTGTAGAGGGAAGCTTGGAATGGCGAAGAAGAGGAAATAGCAATTGCTACTGCTCATTATTCAAAAAGAAGCCAAGATCTAGAAAGGATGGATAATGCACTGGACCCAGCTTATGCCCTGCCCCCACCCTGGATTTACTCAGCCATGGTCTCCAGCTGCTGATGACTCTTCAGGAAGCTTGCCCAGCACCAAGCAGTCATATAGGCCACAAAGAAGTTTTGCTCTTCACTGGAGGAAGGATCATCTCTGTCTTCATGGTGACAATCTGCAGGCTGGGCTAGCTGGGTCTGCTGCAGCAGCTGCTCCTGGAATCTGAGGTAATGTGTGGCTATGACCGAAAACACCTCATGCCTAGAGCCTCCTGCCTCTTGCCAAAGGCTCTGTTTTAGTCTCTATGGTGGGCAGTACCATGGGACCCTCTCGGTGTTCACTACCTGCCCTGGTTCATGCTGGTTCTGCAGTGTGCCAGAGGTCTAGCCCGCAGGGCGCTTGGCTTGCTCCTACTTACTGCATGCCCCATAAGCTGCAGGTCATGCTGAGGAGGTGGCTACTAACATGGGTTCAGATTTCCATAGTGGCTGTAGCAGGACAGGTCATACAACCCAGAAGTGTGGAGGAGTTGCAGGGCAAGCTTTCACCAATGGGAGATGGAAGCTAATGGATGAATCCTCTTCTCCTCATTCCTCTGCGTGGACTGTTCTGAAACACAGCAATTCATGCCAGCTCCTAAAGATGACCTAAAAGATTGAGCAATCAATAGTACTGTTACAAAGCAGTGGCCAGCTTGGGAATGTGCTCCTTCGTAGCTGCTCTTCCTCCTATCTCCTGTGCTGCCTCCCTCTCTTTTTTCTTCACTATTGTTTCTCTAGAATGACACTTCCCATGAAAGTGATAACATATACAGTTTTGCCTCAGGCTTTATTTCTAAGGTGACAGTGGGTTATGGTAAGTGATGTCCCCAATGCTACACAATTTGAAAGAGACAAAGCTGGGATTTGAAGCCAAGCCTATTCAACGATGATATACAGTTGAACAGAGACCCCAGGGAGCCATATAGACAAAGGAAAGGGTAGTGACTCTAATGAAAAAACTAGGACAGGCCTGTCTGACCTCTGGAAGAAGAAATGAGGTAAACAAATACAGGGACAAGCACCATGCTCTGCAATTTTGGCTGTCTACATCCAGAGGAAAATCAAAGCTACCAGATCTGCCTTCCCTCTTCCATCGCAAGCTGTCTTGCAATTATCAAAAAAGTGTGGGCAGCAGATGAGTTTATTGTGTTTACTTTGTTTTGTTTGTTTTGTGGGATTATCCCAGGAGAGGGAATTGCCTAGTGATAACAGTAAGTTTGTTTCTCTGTAATTTTCACTCTGTTTTAGGTGCCTTCAAGTGCACTATCTCTAAAATGGGCACAAAACATTATTGGCTACTTACTTCACAAAAGACTTTTTACTCTATCTTTATGATATTAAGAGAAAGGCTGAGATTTAAGGATCTTGACACAGAACACCAATTACCACAATTCTTGCATTTTTTTATTACCCTCGTTGTCTTCTCTCTATATATCAATTCTTCAATTCTTCAAGAACATTTAAGTTAAAAAAAAAACTCTACTTGGGAAATAACAATAGCATCGTTTCCTGGAAAAGTCCATCATCTTTAGCAAAGAGATGTAATTTATAAGATGTGTGATTTCTTGTACTATCTTTAGGAGCTTTTGGTTTTCACATTGCACACTGACATCTCAGTAAAGAAAAAAAGATCTCCAGCATGTATTTGTCAGCTCTACCTCATAGATCTAGAGATAACTTTCTCCAGTTGTAAGGAAGGCGGGTCACATATTACCAAATAAATCTTCTCTGGTTTCTCTTCTAACGAGTTATGCATCTTCTCCCTGTAGTACTATTAACTCGATGACAAAATAATTCCCTTGGATTCTAATAATCCTCCTAGCTCATCTCCTTGAACTCTCATTTCAGTCTCTACAACATGTCTGGCTTCAAGCAACATCACTGTTATCTCATTTATCCTCTTACATACACCCCTCCCCATTTCCTTCATTTGATCAAGGACAATTCATGAGTAAAGATCACAGACGAGTTTCCTTATCAACCTAAAAACACCATGGCTATCAGAGAAAACTAAAAATATTGAAGCTATCCTTCTGGAACCCTTAACAGGATTCCAGAAATGTCTAAAAATCAAGTATAAGCCTGGTATTAAAATCTTTCTTTTACTGCAAATGTGTCCCAGTGAATAACGATAAAGGTAAAAAAATTTTTAAAAGATTAAAAAAAAGTATTGAGCTGAATACATTTGGAATTTCTAGCTAGTGATGGCTGGATTCCAACCCACCATCAGATCTTCAAGGAAGCACCAGGAGAGCTTCATGTGGCCTATTAGTAAAACCAGTTAAATAACATGTTCAGAATCATCACATGGGTATATCTCTCGCTCTGTCTCTGAATATTTAGCAATATTCAGTGTCTCTGTCTCTCTCTCTTTCTCTCTCACACACACACAAACACACACATACACACACACATGCAGCTTCTATCTGCCATCCTTATTGCAGTAGAATTTTACATGATTGAAACAGAGATTAAGGGCAGCTTTGAATAGGAAAAGAAATTACTTCTCCAAGTCCATGAGGCTGGCCAGGACACATGTGTGGAAATAGAGAGCACTGTCCAACTCTATGCCTTAATTACGAGGTTGACAGTGGGTATTTCAATGACTACAATATACCTCCTTGGGCATGGTGGCCTTTTTAGACTTGTGACAACACTCTCTTTTTCCTTACCCAACTGCCAACACCGGAGGAGTCCCCAGACCAAGGGCCTTCATAAGATCAATCGCCATGTCCACATAAAACATCAATCATAAGATCAATTGGGACAATACTGCTTGCAAAAGACCACTTGTTCATTGAAAACCTCCATCTTCTCAAAAAATAATCACTACAACTCAAAATGATAGAATCAGATGGATTTTAGTTTAGTTTTTAAAAAACCGCAAACTTTGGCCTCCTTTTTAATTGTGTTTTAAGTGTTCGGTTTACTTTGTTTTGTTCTGCTTACTTTGACTGCAATGGCTTATTGGCACCCATGTAAGGCATTTCAACAGGCCAAGTGATTCACATGCCATCCAAAGTGCACAGACAAAAATACTTTCAGAGAAGTCCAAAGAGGGAAGATTATCCATTTGGTCAACTTTCTGCTTGAATGAGAGTCACCACTGTGTTCCTACTGTGAGTCCAGCCTTTGTATTCTGGTGGTTACTGAAGTTGAGAGGAAACCAGGAAGAAAAGAACGGTGGCCTTTTTTTTTGGCAATATTCAGTGTTGGAAAAATAATCTGTATTTGTTGAGATTTCAGGCTGAAGATGCAACAAAATCGTACAAAGAGTCGAGGAAGCCTATTCTCTCAAAAAGAATTCTATTTGACTGAGAGTCCAAGGGGAAAGTCACACCTGCAAAGCCCATCTATCTCCATCGGTAGTATGAAGGGAGAAATCTGGTGACCTTCTTATGATTTCTTTTTCTCAAGTCTATATGTAAGGACACACCAATATAGTTAAAAGAAACAACACAGTGAAAAAAGAAGTATTTTTTTTTCTTTAAGTTCTGGGATACATGTGCCGAACATGCAGGTTTGTTACATAGGTATACGTGTGCCATGGTGGTCTGCTGCACCTATCAGCCCGTCATCCAGGTTTTAAGCCCTGCATGCATTAGGTATTTGTCCTACTGCTCTCCCTCCTCTTGTCCCCTACCCCCTGATAGGCCCTGGTGTGTGATGTTTTCCTCCCTGTGTCCCCGTGTTCTCATTGTTCAACTCCCACTTATGAGTGAGAACATAGTGTTTGGTTTTCTGTTCCTGTATTAGTTGGCTGAGGATGATAGTTTCCAGCTTCATCCATGTTCCTGCAAAGGACATGAACTCATCCTTTTTTATGGCTGCATAGTATTCCACTTGGAACCAACCCAAATGCCCAGCAAAAGAAGTCTTATTGATAGTAATGATCATGCTTTCCTAGGGAACTCCCACAATTCTCAAGTTCTTTATGGTTTTTCTGACTTCTGACTTTTTTCTATACTCACATGGCTTTATACTGTTTTCCACTGCAGATGACAAGATTTAATGAGAATATTGTCAAAGAAAAATGTATTCAGGAAGGAGAAGGAAGCAAACACCTTTTAAAAAATATTACAAGAACGAAAGATCTGGTAAGAGGGTCATGTAAGGAATCACTGAGCTTACAGAAGACATTTAGTAAACAGAAAACCATCTGAAAAGAAATCATGATAGTATTTCTGTGTGAAAAAGAAAGAAGGCTTATCTGTGTAACCCTTCAAGACAGAACTATGCCTAAGATTTGGCATAATGCAAAGAGACTTTGGTTTATTAAACAACAGAGTTGTCTAACATTAGAATATATTGGATAAGTAAGGAGCGAGCTTTTCAACATTGGGAATATTTTAATAAAGACTAAATGAGTCCTTGTCAGGACTGTTGGCTAAGGGAATGTCTGCTTGGACTGATCATTGAACAATCTTTCCAACTAAAAGCTTCTATGATTCTCTAAGTAGCAATCAGCACCGACAGTTATGATTAATTTTTTCAAAATAAAAAAGTTGGAAGCAAATAATTAAATGTACCCCAAATTGCCTTTAAGTAAAATTGTTCATTGTTCACCTACTCATCCACTTATTGAATAATTCTTTGAGTCTCTGGAACATACCTATGTGTTTTTAGGTGCTGTGGTACAGTGATGGAAAAGACAGATGAGGACACTCTCATGGCACCTGCATTCCCGCGGGGTACCACACAATAAATGTTTTTACAAACATACATGAGTTAAATTCAGTGATATATTCTATGAATAAAAGAGGAATAGGATAGAGAGTGGAGGGGGAAGCTGCTTCAGCCAGGGCCTGCAGGGAGGTCCACTTAAGAGTAGAAATACCATTTGAGCTTAAGACCTGAATGAATAGAAAAAGTTGGCTATGTCAAGATCTAAGGGAAGAGAGGTTCAGCCAGGGGAAAGGGCAAGTGGAAAGACTCCTGAGGCAGACAGGATCTTAACCCAGAAGTAGAATGAGATGGAGTCCAAGAGAAAGGCAAAATACAGGTCATGTAGGACACAGTAGACCCTTGTGAGACATTTGTATTACACTCCCATTGCAGTGGAAAGCCACCAGACAGTGATAGCAAGGGAGTGGTGTGGTCAGATTTACTTTTTAGAGCCACTCTGGCTATTGTGTAGAACATGGCCGTCAGGAGTTAAGGGGAGAAGCGAAGCAGGAGGGCTGGTTAGGAATCTGTCACAGTGGTCTAGGTGAGAATGACCAAGGGCTCAGGATGTTGCACAATTCACATGGCATGCTGACTATTTTTTAAACATTTAGATGCACCGCCAATCGGAATGCTGTTCAAAGTATAAATTATTGAACAGTGTATGTACATGTGTCTACATCTATATGTATATGTGTATGTGCTTGTACACCTTGAACAGTGTACACACAGTATTTTTAAAGCTGAGAACAGGAGTTAACTAGAAAGCAATATTTGATACCCTAGTATGGATCAAATTGAAGGAGAATTCAATTAAAAAAAAGAAAACAGGCAAGTTTTCATTTTATTTGTCCCCAAAACTGCCTCAACCAGTTTTCCAAAGGAAAGTCAAAAGCCCATTATGTCCAGTTATGTAGTTATATTTAAATTATAATGAAATTGATATTTATGACACCTGCTGACGTGAGAAGACAAAAGGGGAATAAGCCACAGCCTAAGTCTGGTGACCTTCCTGTGGCCTGCCACAGAGCCACAAATAACAATTACCATCACACGTGAGAGACTCCTCCAGGCTTATCAAACAGGAGAGAAATAAAAAGCTAACTTACAAGTGTTCATTCTTATTTCTTGTATTCTTACTTTGGGAGAAAATATTCAGTTGTTTAGAAACTACAGGTGACATGACCATTCAAGCCAGGATTTAAACACTGGTATTACGTGCAGATGGATAAGCCATCAATCACTTGGCCGTAGGTGGAAAATCTTTGCTTAAGTCATCAACACTCCCAAGTGTAATCCTACCTGTGTTAAGCAGGGGCATTTCTGTTTTTCTACTGTGATTTGATATTGAGAAATAACATGAGCAGATAAGCTTTATAACAGCACAAGAAAACCCTGTCATTTCTAACAAATGAAAACCACTGGGCTGTGTGAGTTGAACTCTGGCTCCTGGTCAGTGTGCATGATGACCAGGCAATGTGGCGGAACCCAATCACGCAGAGAGCTGAGCAAGTAGAGCAGCTGAAATCAACGAGGGACAGAGAGGGTGGGGAAAATTGACCCAATGAGATAAAGAGATTAGCTGGCTCCTAAATCTTCAAAATTATTCCTTTACTATGTTTTTTCAATTTATTTAAAGTTGACAGCTAACTCACTCACAGCCTGGGTGACAGAGTGAGACTCTGTCTCAAAATAAATAAATAAAATGAAGTTGACAGCTAACTTAGGGGACTTAAGTCATTCCTGAAGGCTTTGCGCTCAGGCAGATCACATCCAGAGTGGTCCTGACCTCCATGTTGAAAATTTGGTCACTGTCATTTCCATTGTGAAAACTTTGAGGAGGACTGTTAGTATTTAATGCCTATTGAATGGTTTAGGCTTGGGAGCCATTCAAAATACCCCTCTCTTTCTTCTCGTTCTTCCCACCCTTGTTTCACCAAGCCTCAATGTGGCTCCACTCACTCTTTTCCTGTTCGCATTTGCTATAGTTTGGTTTCCTTGACCCATCCAAATGTCATGATGAAATCTGATACCCATTGTTGGAGGTGGGGCCTACTACGAAGTGTTTGGGTCATGGAGGTGGATCCTACATGAATAACTTGGTGCCATCCTTGCAGTAATGAGTGAGGTCCTCACAGTAATGAGTAAGTTCTTGCTCTATTATTTCCTGTGAGAGCTGGTTGTTAAAGAGAGCCTGCGCTTTCCTCCATGCCCCCTTCTTGCTTCCTCTCTTACCATGTGATATTTGCATATACCAGCTTCCCTCCCCTTCCACCATAGTTGGAAGCTGCCTAAAGCCCTCACCAGAAGCAGAAGCTGGTGCCATGCTTCTTGTACAGCCTGCAGAACTGTGAGTCAAATAATTTATAAATTACTCAGCCTCAGGCATTCTTTTGTAGTAACCCTAGAAGGACTAAGACAACATTTCTCGCCTTCATCCACAAAGCAGTTGGGCATCCAGTCAATAGTAAGGATAGTAGTTGCAGCCACAGGAGAGGGAGGCTCCTGGACTTAGAGACATTCACCTTTTTTATGGCTAATGCCTGTTATTATTACCCAGTGTTTGGGAAAGAGATTTGTCATTGGAGTAAACATGTGTATGTATATATACATGCCTATGTGTATGCATTTATAGACATGTCTAATACATATGTTCTAAAAGAGAATCGGGATGAAATAGCCACAAATTTGTGATAGCTATTAACATATTTATCACTCATTATATCGCTATAAGTGATATAATAATCCAGTATAATCCAGGCCAATTACTAACAATAATCACAGGATAGCAATACAATGTAGGGGTGAAGAGTAGGTCTTTAGACCCAGACTGCCTGGATTCATACCTTGCTTCACTACTAACTTACTGGGTGACCTTAGGTAAGTTAGTTAAACTCTCTGTGACTCAGTTTCTTCATTTGGGATAACAATATTTCTTGCTTATTTTTTTGTGACGATTAAGTTCACCTAGTAAGTTACAATGTGGTAAGCACTGTTTATGTACTAGATGCTAGGGACTATCATAAGCAAGACAGACGTGGTCTCTGGTCTCACGCGGCTTACATTCTAGTGGGTTGGGCACTATATGTGGTTCATCTGTGCCATGAACCATTTCAAAAAAGTTTGAAAAAAGAATCAGTCTTAAAGAGAGAAAAAAAACCCACAATTTTATCTGTCCACAGGCAAGAAACTAACATGTTAATGTCCTTTAGATCTATATCCTGATCATGTCATTTCTATGTAAATATATCACCTCTGTTTTATGAGCCACTTAATATTTTATATTAATTTTCCTCATATTGGTCTGCTTCTGCCTCATCAGAAGGAAAGTACACACTATGAAGCTCCCTTACCTCAAACAGTAACACATTTGACTATAGAAGACAAGGAAATGTGAACAGCATGAGTGAATCTTGAAGCAGATACTAAAAAAATTCATCAGCAAGTTATTTTCAAACTCAAAGAGAAGAAAATGTCAAGTTGAGCTCCATTATAGTTTCATTCTCATCGAGAAATCACAGCTTAAACTATCCACAGAGAAGGCTTGTCTCCGGCAAAGAAATTCAACACTCACTTACATATGCTTGGGTTTGAAAAATCATAATATTGAATCTCAGAATAAGTGTAGGACACCTAATTGAAGTCCAGTGGCCTAGATCCTAATCCTGAGAAAGCTGCTAACAAGTAATCAAACCTCACAGGCCTTAGTTTCCTCTTCTGTGAAATGGGAGAAGAGTTTCTACCCTATTTATGTCACAGGTGATAATCATGTGAGAGAGCATGATAGAAAATAGAGCATGGTACCACAAGTAGTGGTAAAGAGAGCCTGCACTTCTTTCCCTGCCCCCTGGGAAGGAAGGACTGCCCCAGTCTTGATGCTGGGGCATGGACCATGTAGAGATGGTAGAGATGACTTTCAGATGACCAACTATATCGGTCAGAGTTCAACCAGAGAAACAGAAACTGTAGAGATTTGCTCCAGGGAATTGTCCTCGTGGGAGCTGAATAAGCAGTCTCTGTGAGGCTGTTGTCTCCATGTCTGAGTCTGGAGCTGGATGTCCATAGGACAAGCAATCAGAAAGAGAAGATAGATGCAAAAAATATCCCAGGCAGGCTGGAAGCCATAGGCACAGGTAGACTGATCTTGGTGATACATAGAAGTCAAGGCCCTTTGCCATGGAACTAAACACACACCTTGCACAGGAGGTGGAGAAACAGAGCAGAGTTTATAAATGCTTCTTCACACCAACCACAAGTTGACTCAGCAGACCAGCAACAGCATATGAGTTACAAGATGGCCCCTGCTTCCCTTCTGTCCTATAAATCTCCCAAGAATTTTCTTTGTGGTTCTTCTATTACCAGAAACATATAAAAAAGTGAATTCTGGGAAATGCAGTTCTGCCTAGCCAAGTTGATACACTACAAAACCATCACAAAACCCTTGATTAGGATTGAGAAATTGACATAGTAATTTTCACTTTGCTAAATAATGTGTCACTGACTGCTACAGTACAAATGTCACTAAGTGCTAAAGTACTGGTATGTATCTATGGCAATGGTTAAAAGCAAGAACTTTGGAGTCTCCCTGACCCAAATTTGAATCCAATGTTTACCACTTTTTTGTTTGGAACATCAAGCAAGCAAATTATTTGACTCTCTGTGCCTCAGTTTCTTCATCTCTAAAACTGGGACTATAATACCTGTTTTATTGACAAGATCAAAGATTAGGGAGAAGATGCAAGTAAAATGCTCGTACAGTGCCTATTACATAGTCAGTGCTCAGTAAGTGATTGATCTATTGTAATGGTCACCTGTCATCACCTCTTAAGAACTAACCACATTAGAATCAAGTGTCTGAAGAGATGCCCAGAGATCTCTTTTCCCCACTCGGCCTTAAGTGTATGCTTAAGGCGAGCGCAGAAGTGCTTGAAGACCATCCTTGAGGCAAATAAGAATGGAAGCAATTTATACATCAAATCATAGAGGCTGACTATTTTCATATTTTCCCAGCTGCCAGAGATACTTGCTGAAAGAGCATTGGTATTTTGAAGCCTTATACTTCCAAGTTGACTCACACTGTGGGTTCATCAGAAAAACATTTTACTAGGAAAGCCAAATTATGTTGGACAATATATGCCAAGCAATAGAATTATGAGCATGGACTCTGGGGACAGACTGCCTGTGTTCAAATCCTGGCACCACCATTTATTGTGCTTAGCTGTTATATAAACTCTTACTTTCTCTCTTTCATTCTCTACATCTGCAAAATGAAAACAATACTAGCATCTACGTCATAGAGTCACTGTGAGGACTAATGAGTTAAAATATGTAAAATGCTTAGCATAGTAAGTGTAGTAGTCATAAGCTAAGCACTTACTATCATGATTGTTGCCATCATCCGCAGATCTCTCATCTTCTTTAGGCCAGGAACTGGCTCCTACAAACTCTGGTCCATCCACACCCAGCAGGAAGCAGAAAAGCAAGCAAGGAAAAATTGATCTCCACCCAAGGATGATTATTCGACTTTCTAACATGTGCACTCTGACTTATTATTACCTACATGCTCCTTTCTGCCTAAGTAGCCTCCTCTAGACTTAACTCCTCACCTGTCCAGACCTGGGGAATCCATCCATTCTTCATGTGTAGCTGAATTTTAAGACCTTCTTCCTGGCCACTTGTGGCCAGGTCAGCGACAGTCCATTAGAAAAAAACTTCTGTGACACCCTTATGCCTAAAAAGAATTGGTGAAATCGTTTCCCATTACTTGTTTGAACAAACCAAAATAGCGGACTATTGCACAGTCTCATTGTCCTGAAGAGAATGCAATTCTCAAGCTCTTTGCTCACCCATGGGAAAGTATCAGATCATTGCAAATTGCAAATTGAGACTTGCTGCTCTGTAAAGAAAGGCCATGGCTTTTCTCAAATGTTTGCTTTTCCACACTTGCACCTGCACATCACCATAATAGTACAGATTAATCGAGTTTAAATAAAGATGTGTCTAATTCGGAACACAGAAGCTTAAGGAAAGAGCTCTGTTTTTAAGAGATTTCTGTAAATGATTTAGCAAAGTTGAGCATATATAATCTGTCCAAAGTGCTAGCACACTTGCTTCAAGCAGCCAATTTTGTAAGCAAAGCTGTGGTTTTCTTGTTCCTTCTGTGAGCTGTGGCTGCCGTTTCCTCACGGCCCAGCCCTCAGTGATGCACGAACTGGGGATGTATTTCTCATTTGTGCATAAAAGTGGTTTCCTTGAATTATGAGCCCCAAAGTTCCAAGACACTTACAGTCTGGGTGGCCACACAGGAATAAGTGTATAAAAGTCTGTTCTTAGCATGGCTCAAGGAGTGAACATATTCACTTCAAACAACTTGTCTCTCTGGGAACACACTAACAGCCCTCCACCAGAGCGAGGCATATTTGTGGTCGTGATGTACTACAGCAATGGTACAAGGAGACACACACTAAGAGAAATTAGAACACCAAAGAGAAAAATAAGTCCAGCTTCTCATAGGAAAGGATCCTTTAGCTCCCTTTCCTCTCCACTCTCTACCAAAACATCTTAGCTCCTTGGAATTCAACAGCAATGCCAAAGGGAGGTTGTGTTCATGAATCCAGTGGTAAGCCCAACAGTAGCAGAAGTTATTAATAAAATCTACACTTTCAAAAGGAATTATATATTTATATGTATATATATATATACAGAATTATTTTGAGAAAAGGCCTCCTAATTTTTATTAATTACACAAAATAGAAACTCCTTTAGAGGAAAAAGGTGCCATCCTTTTTGGAATTGGAGAAGGAAGGCTCTTGTTGGCCATGCAGGGTTGCTTGAGTGGTGTGTATGCATCAGGACCCAAGCCTGGTAGAGAGTGAGCTGGTGCAGCCCAGAGCGAGCCTCAGGCCACCCCAGAGACTGAGGATCATTGTCACCAAATGTGTCACCTCTGTTCTAGTGGAACAGGGGAGAACAGAGGGGAATTTTGTCACCTGGAATAAATGCAAGTTCTTGACATTCAGGAGATCTGTTTTCTTTTCTGAGTGGTCCTGAGGCCCCAGAAACTTGTTCTTCTAGAAGCCAAGAGATCTCTAAAATGATTATAACTATCTGCCTGGACATTGACTCAAATTGGAAGTACTCATCTTCCTCTGCTCCTTCTTTGCCTCCTATGCACCTAGGAATAGAATTATTCTTGATTATAAAGTACACATTTGCCTATTAAAATAAAACTGCCAAACTAAGCAACATCATGATAAGCCATTATGAACGCATGAATTTGATTTTGTTTGGTTGTATGTGCACTTGAACTAAAATTGTCTACAGATGTATTTCTGACTATAGAATAGATACACCCCTTAAGAGCTGCCAGGAAATCTTTGAAAATAGAAACGTATCTTTAGAGTGCTAAGGGAGCTCATTATTTCCAAGAACCCTGAGGTGAATTATTTAGTAGAGAAACAATGTGTATTTATGGAGGGCTTAATGGGCAAAGGATATGAAAGAAATATAAGACACGATCTTTGACCTCAATCAGATTTCAATTGAGTGAATTATTTCAAAAATTTAGACTTCCGTATATCGAATTTTCTTCAAATGAGGCCACCTGTACAGCATCCAAGAAGTCTGAATTTCACCTTGTATCAGGGAAGCAGCCTGTGATAAGGCCCTGTGGTCAGATAATGCCACTTCCTTACAGCTGAGACAATCCTGAACTTCTTAGATATCTTGGGCCATCCAACCTGCAAAGGTGATTGTATAAGATGGAGCAACTTCCAAGGCAAGTTGAGCAGTCTCTCCTCCTCCTTCCATTGCTTTCTCATGCCGTACTGCCTTTGTTCACACATCACACATACACAGACATCTGGAAACATGCACACACACACACACACACACACACACACACACATGTTTACACAGCTTCTGGTGTCTTAGGTCATACTTCTTGGTAACCTCAGCCCTTCCACAGTGAGATCTTATTAGAATGAGTTAAACATCACCAGCCTGTTCTCCAGGCCCTCAATGACTTCATCCTTCCTTCTTATCTCTCCCAATCAGAGAAGAATCAGAGGCAAGATATAGAGGCCTCTCTGAGCCCCTCAAATCACACCATGTCAGTGGCCCTAGTCTATTTGTGCCTAGATTCTGCTCTGTCCTCAATAAAATGGGAACAAACTCACTGTGGCATAGCTACAGAGACTCCTCACTCTGTTGGTTCAGTTATACCTAAGAATGCACCCAGATGGCTGAAAGGACCCTAGTGGTCTCCTAAATCTGCTTTAAACAACAAAGATCTATTGGTGGTTTAATGGCAGCAAGTAAAGCCACAGAGCAGGTCATGCTCACTGGCCTGGGGACACAATGGCAATAAGGAGATGTTTCTCCTTAGAGGCCCCCTATGGTGTTCCATAGGTGTCCTACACAGGGGTGACTGACTAAACTGGCACTCCATAAACCTTTCTACCAGCACACCACTCTATGAATGGTTGCATGTTTCTAATGCAACATGTCTTCACTTTCTATGTCATTCATTTGGCCACCTCCTCCTCGACACACACCCTGTTATCTTGGTTTCTGTGTCACCATGCTTTCCTAGTTTTATCTCTGCGTCTATTAACAACAACAATGGTAATGAGAACTTACATTTATTGAGCGCTTTCCCTGTATCAGACATGGTACTAAGTATATTCCATGTATTATTCCAGCCCTAAGCCCTGACTTCTCACTTTATCCTCCCTCCTTAATCTCTCCCATGGATTTAGAGACCATCTATAAACCAACCATTCCCAATTGCTATCTTCAGCCTAGAATTCTTTTTTGCATTCCAGACCTACTGTCTAACTGCTTAGTTGGAAACTCTTTTTAAATATTTTCGAGGCATTTCAAAGTGAATTGTTCGTCTTTCCTCCCCCAGCAGCCTCTCCTCCAATGTTTCCTGGCTCAGTAAATGCGCTGTAATGACAGGGATATAGATGTCATTCTTGACCTTTCCCTTCCCTCATGTCCAATAATCAATCACAACCCTGTCAGTACAGTCCCCACAATGTATACCAAACCAGCCACTTCCCTCCCTTTCCATTGCCACCTTTCTCAGCTGAACCAATGTCATTGCCTCATCATCAGCCTTCCTACTTTCATTCTTGCCTGTGGCCAACCTGTTCTCCACAAAGCAGTCAGGGTAAACTTTTCAAAATAAAATCATCTCTTCCCTACTCAAAGCCTTTGCTGTGACTTCACATGGCACTTAGGATAAAATCGAGAATTTTCCTATGGCCTCTGCCCACATCTCCAGCCCCACCTCTCACTGTCTACCTCTCCCTCACTCTACTTCAGCCACCATTACTCATTCCCCAAACACTCCAATGTGGTCCCCACCTCAGAGCTCCCCCACAAGCTTCTCTCTTTGCCCTCTTAATATTGACTTCCTTCCCTAGACTATACCCTTTATGAGGGGAAGAACTGTGCCTACTAGCTCAGCACTCTATAGCAGAGCTTGCACAATGCCACTCTATAGCAGAGCTTGCACAATACCTGGACATATAGACAGGTATTCAGCAAATATTTGCTGAATTAAAATATTCAAAAATATCTTTTGAAGGTGTATTATATGCCAGGTATGGTGATAGACATGTGGACTTCTCCACAGGCTAGCTCACAATGGGCACCTGACTTTCCCGAGAGCAAGCAAATGAGAAAGCAAAAGAGGACAAGCAAGACAGAAGCCATCTTTTTGTTAAGATAGATGACATCTCCAAAGTGTTGTTCTATTACTTTTGCCATATCTATTCATTAAAAGCAAGTCACTAGGTCTAGCCCACACACAAGCAGAGGGGATGCCGCTATGGCATGAATACTGGGAAGCAGGGATGACCGGCGACCATCTTAGAGGCTACCTACCTCTAGTGTGGCTACCATGTCCATAATATACAGAAATCTAGCTCTTCATTACTATACACTCTTCAATACTATGTACTTCATGTATAGTATTCTAAGGTAGAAATGAAATAATTTGTTATTTGCATAATTTCCAGTCGTTGAATATTTATGATATTTATAATTTCCCACTAATTTTGCAATAAACATCCTTGAACACATACATTTTCACACTTACCCATTATTTCTAGAAGATCAGTTTCTAGAAGTGAAATTGCTGGGCCAAAGAATCTGTACAATTTAATTATTCATTTATGTTGCTAAATCACCTTCTAAAAAGGTTGTACCAATTTGTCTCTTGAAAATGTCTGACAACATTTTAAATACCAAATATTAAAATGTTTTAATATTCCACTTCACCACAGAAGAAGTCTAGGAACAGTGGCCACCCCCCCCCCCCAACTTTTTTTGTTGTTGTTTGTTTGTTTGTTTGTTTTTTGAGATGGAGTCTCACTCTGTCTCCAGACTGGAGTGCAGTGGCACAATCTCAGCTCACTGCAACCTCTGCCTCCCAGGTTCAAGCGATTCTCCTGCCTCAGCCTCCTGAGTAGCTGTGACTACAGGCATGCGCCACCACACCCAACTAATTTTTGTATTTTTAGTAGAGACAGGGTATCACCATGTTGGCCAGGATGGTCTCAATCTTCTAAGCTCATGATCCATCCACCTCAGCCTCCCAAAGTGCTGGGATTACAGGCATGAGCCACCACGCCCGGCCATCACTTTTCTTCTTCATGGCCTCTTCCTCAGTGTTGCCTTCACTAACTCCTCAGTCAGGTATTTGATCTGAATATGTGACCTCTATACCTGCATATTTTACTTAATTCCTCTTTCTTGCACAGCTTTTCTTCTTCATCTGAGAGATGTTGGTACAGAAAGTATTAGGTAGGATAGACTAGCTAATGCTGCAGTAACAAAAAGCTAGAAATCTCAAAGGCTTACATTTGAAAATTGATTTCTTGCTTATGCAGAGTCCAATTTAGGTTTTGAAGGGCTCTCCAGAACAGCTATTCTTCCAGTGGTGATTCAGGTGCTTCTATCAGGTGGTTCCACCATGTCAACATGTGGTCTCTTCAATTGGAGTATGGGAGGGAGAGCTGAAGGATTAGGTAACAGCTTTTAACTGTCTCAGCCAGGAACTGACATACATCATTTCACTCAAAATGCATTGACCAGAACTAGTCATGAAGCCCCACCCAGGGATTTTGGCAAACATTCAATTTCTGATTGCATTTTAACTTTACTAAATATTGAATAATATCATTAAAATTTAATATTAATACATTTTAATAGTTGATATTATATTATATAGACATGTAGTATAATATGGACATATAATACACATATATTACAATATAGACATAAAATAGACATATAATATATAGATATAATATGGTGATAAATATTTTGATAAATAATTTAATATTTATTAAATTATATCTCTGTCACAAAACACAATAGGTAAAAGAAATATACTTTTATGGCTAACAGGGGCTTCTCTCCATAGGCCCAGAGATTGTCAGCAAATCTGTAGCCATGTGTTGACTTTGGTCTTGTTGGTAAAGTCATATAAAAATACAAAAGTAAGATTGTATATCTCTGGCCTTGCCTTGCTTCGTACAGCCAGACATGTGCCACTTTGCTCCACATGTTGAAACAGCCATTGCCAGATGATGTATTTTTGCAGTGGACACGACTTGGCACAGGACTTTTCCACCTCTCCTGTTTCCAATCACGCATTGCCTGGGCATGTCAGGGTCAGGCTTAAAGACTTGCTAGAACTGGATTCAAGATTTACGAGAACGAGATGTAACCAGGCCTCTCCCAGAGGTTTGGGAAGAACAGCTGGAGTCAGGCCCCTTGCATCATGACAAGAACTATTAAAAACTAAAGCAGTGTGTGTGTGTTTTTTTTTAAAAGATGAGTGTAGAAAAGCAACAAGTAATCCAAAGGAGTATCAAAGGCACCCTCACAAGGGATACTTTTAAAGCAAAAGATCCTAAGGGCTCTGATGCTCTACCTCACTCACATTTCAAACTTGTAAACAAGAAGCAAAAATCATTAGGTTTGAACTGTGGATTTTCTCCCTTGACCCACTCCTGAATGGGGTTGAATCATCCCCACTCCAAGCAGTGAGGGGCTGCTGTGTTCTCCAGGCCCCACCCTATGCTGATGTAATGCACCACGGCTGTGTTTTTCTGATGAGTGTGCTAGGGAGGGTCCTCGCCAGGAGGAGGGAAGCTGTTGCCTAGCACTTCTGGAATAGCAGGGAGAGACGGGAGGCCTAAGAGCACAGATGGCTGTTGTGGAAGGGACTGATGGCTCACGCTTAGTATTGGAAAGTCCACCTTGTCCCTCCTCCTCTTACGCTACCACAACCACCCCCTGCTCCCACCCACCTCCTTCAAGACCCTTCATTCCTGAGAGCTCATCACTCATCACCAGGGAGCTCTGGTTTCTTTAAAGTGGTTCCTGCAGCCACATCCCCCTTCCTATGCAGCATTAGACAATGATGCCTGCCAGCCTACGTGTGCCTGCCAGCTCCCCGTGTCCAGGTTCACAGCCCAAGAAGAAGCACTCCCAGGCCCTGAAACACAGATGCCAGGATCTTCTTCCAACCTCCTCGAAGGGACAGGCTTTTTTAACTGTTTCATTTTATTTTAATGTTGAATTTGTGTTTGTGAACATGTCAGAAACACCAGGGCAGAGAGCACGTTTTAAACAAAATAAAAAACGTAAACATTCCATTTATTCAATCCACCCCTACCTCCACCACCACCACACACACACAAATTCCCTTCACTCCTGATTCACCTCTCTAATGCCTTTACTTTTCCTATTGTTTGCTATCTGAGAATCATTTTAAAGAATTAACTCTACAGTTTCTTTTTAAAAAATATGAGAGTGGGTCAGGTACAGTGGCTCACGCCCGTAATCTCAGCACTTTGGGGGGCCAAGGTGAATGGATCGCTTGAGCCCATGAGTTCAAGACCAGCCTAAGTAACATGGTGAAACCCTGTCTCTAGAAAAAAAAATGTTTTTAATTAGCCAGGTGTGGTGGTGTGGCACCTGCAGTCCTAGCCACATGGGAGATTAAAGTGGGAGAATCACCTGAGCCCTGGAGGTCGAGACTGCTGTGAACAGAGATAGTGCCACTGCACTCCAGCCTGGGTGACAGAGTGAGAGCCTCTCTCAAAGAAATAAAAATGAATGAATAAATAATAAAATAAAATAAAATAAAAATATGAGAATTATATAGAAAAACTTTTTGCATGCTATTTCTTAAACTCTCCAGAGCACGTCATATAAATAGTAACAAACTTATTATATTAAAGCAATTGTCTTTCACATGAAAGCAATTTTAGTGAAATACCTTTACTAAAGATGATCTATTCCTAATGGATCAATGGAAGCCACACATGATCCTTAAATTTAAGGAAAATTGTTAAGTAAATCTATATTGCTGCAAACTGTTTCTTTTTCCTATGTGGAATTTAAATGTATCCTGACCTATTCAAAGATTTCAAATTGCTCTCTGTTTGGTAATTGATTTTTTTTCTATTCCCCTTGGAAAAGGGAACAAAAGATGGGAAAGCAGATTTTTACTCTGAAGGAATATAGAAGCTGTGTGTATTTATTGTGCAAAACAGAAAAAAAAATGGCCCTCTTTCATCATGAGTGGAGAAGATGTTAAGTATCAAGAAGAACACACGATTAAAATTTTAAAAGAATACAGTTCATCTAAAGCCATCTTTTTAGCTGAAGAATTTTGTCCCAAAAATGTTAAATCTGACAAGTAACAGTTAAAAAAATGCATCCTAAAAAATCCTCTATTATCATTAATCATAGTTTTGAAAACATTCTAACCTTCCTAGCTCCTAAAATAAAAAATATTCCTTATTACTAAACAGATGAAGTGAAAAAATAAACCTACTTGAATTTATTAGCCTGAGATCAAAGAAAATTTAGAAATTAATCCTAGTTTGCCTTTGGGGGCACCTGAATGTGTGTCCTCCAACCTGCAAGGCTCTGCCTCTGGCTGCTCCCCCACAATACAAGGTGCAGTGTGAGACTCTGGGGTCTGGTAAGCCTTAATGTTTGGATGTTGCCCTATGGCTAGCTTATGGCATCGGCAGAAATCTGGAAGGTGGAAAATGAAGTTTTCCTAAAAGAGGATTGTGGAGAAGACAGCAGTGCCACTCAAGGTGAGATACTCCTGCTCTAGGATAAGCAACTGCTTAGCTGACAGCCAATAAAGGGGGCACTTGGCTACCCCAGCTCTCTGCTTCCTATTCTGTTCCCTATCACTTCACCTCTCTGATTTTCTTCCTCTCGGACTTTACTCTCCTGTGCCATTTTTTCCCTTTTCTTATTTTCTCTCCCTCCTTTTGTTTCTTATGCCTACAAGTGGAGGTCATTGACAAGACTTACCCCACAGGTGACCCCCAAATATGGAAACTGTCATCCCTAAAGTAATGGAGTTTTTCATGAAGCTAAGTATCCACACCAATCAAACATTTACTTTGGGTATACTATATACCATGCTAGGTATTTGGTATAAAAAGATGATCTGGGCTTTAAAGCACCTATGTTCAGATGGAGACACAGACATCCATGGTCATTGATGATTTCAGTTCTAATGAGTTAGGGATGATCTATCAGTCAGGGTTTGTTCAGGAACCAGTGTACTCTATGCACTTTGAATATTAAATAAATAGATTTTACATAAAGTTAGGGGACCACATGCCTGTTGGAAGAGCAGATATCAGGAAAGATGCTATGGAAGGTCAAGAGGTTGACCATGAAGATTTCACCCTGAGCACCGTAGTGTGGGTGCTTTTGCTGGAACTTTCCAGGAAGGCCACAAAGAGGGAGCCTGCAGAGAAGTTTGTGAAGCCCAGAAACCATAAAGTGAGAGCTCACATCTGGAGATCTGCCATGTCTGACCCCACACCTCGCTGAGAACAGTGACCTCTACTTCACTTCTGCTCTCAAATCTCACATGGATTTCTCTCATTGGCAAAATTAAATCTAGAGCTATACAAGGGAACTGGTTCTAGGAAATATGTCTCCCAGCCTTAGACAGGAGGAGGGGAGGGAGAGGCACAATTGAGTACAGAAAACCCACCATAGAAAGGAAAATGGTGCTATGCAACATGGACAAAGGCCATCTAGCCCAGATAAGAGTCTAAGAAGGAGGAAGCTGAAAGCCTTCCTAGAGGAGATTATCTCTTAAAATCGCAAAGAATTAGTCAGAGTTAGCAAAGCTGAGAGAGGAAAAGAGGCCATACCAGGCAGAAGGCACAGGATGAGCAAAGCCTTGGAGGGGAGATATAGCAGGAATGTACCAGGAGTGCATGGATGCCAATGGTAGTGATTTTCTCTTCCGACTTTGTTTTTGTTTTTAATCAAAGAATTTTATTAATTGTGCTCATCAAGAGCCTCCAAGTATATGTCAAGTGAACCTGCTTAGGACACAGCAGTGGCAATAAAGGACAGTGGTTGAAAATGTGCGCTCTAGAATCCAACTGGAAGCACAGCTCCATCACTTTGTAGGTGTGTGACTTCAGACAAGTTACCTGACTTCTTTGAGCCTCCAATTTCTTTTTGCAAAATGCCAATAATCATAGTACCTCCTTTCACAATTATTGTGAGCAACAATTGAGCTATTCCGCAAAAGCACTCAAAATATTAGCCTTTATTATCCCTCTACTTTTGATACTACAAGAATGTCTTTCTTATGTACCAAACACATAATAAAAATCATAAAAAATAAAACTCTAAAGAGGATAAAGAGATGATATGTCATTTTTGAAGGGGCAAATAAGTCAGAGAAGAAATGCTGCTACAGGCAACACGGGCTTTTACACAAAGGAACAGAGGATGGATTTAAGAACAAGAAGACAGAGACAAACACTTAAGGGCCTGTTAGAAGGACCCACATGGAAGACGATGAAGGCTGACTTTAGACATGATGATAGGATGAGCCTGGAGAAGAGAGATTTTGGAACAATTTTAGGAGGTAAAATTGGCAGGATTTGTGATGAAGTGATGAAGATTTTCTCAGCAAGAGAAAGGGAGAGAGAAGTTGTGGATTGCTCCCAGTTACTCTGTGGCTGACAGAAGTGATGGTACCACCCACTTTTGTGTGCTGAGGATGGAATCATTGGCAGAGAAGACAATGAGCTCCACTTTAGCCCATCAATGAAGCTACATTTTTTTTTGTCTTCCTCATTGAGCATGTGTTCCCTTTCCTTCTCCCTTTTTCCTCTTTTCTGTTCCACTTAGCCTCTCTCTCCTTTTATTCCGATGTTAGTGACTTACAAAAACTCAGGATATACCTTGAAATGCTCTGGACTGTGGATAATGTTAAGGCATATTTTATAAAACTAAAGGCTGTTCTCAACCTGTAAACCTGGCCTTAGCAGTGCTCGGTAGATCCAAGTTCCAGTCCTAATTCTTCCATGAACAAACTGTATAATCTTAAGCAAGTCACTTAAAACCTCTAGGTCTCCATTTTTTCTTCTGAAAAATGAGGGGTGTGAATTAGACATATTTAGGGCTTCTTCCAACACAGAGATATTGGTTCCACAAAATCAATGAGTTTTCTAAACCCACACCTTGACAGCCTTTAACTAATTCATGTGGCACTGTAATGGTTAATTTTTCATTGACTAAAATCAGTCCTCATTTAATGCTAACTAGCAGGCTGCATCATAATGCCTTGGAGTTTAAGATATATAGATAGTGTTACAGACTGAATTCAACTGTGCACCCCTAAAATTCATATGTTGAAGCCCTAACCCTCAATGTGACTGTATTTGGAGATAGAGCCTTGAAAGAGGTAATTAAGATTAAATGAGGCATAAGAGTGTGGCCCTAATCCAATAGGATTGCTGTACCTATAAGAAGAGGAAGAGACACCAGGGGTGGGCATGCACAGAGGAAAAGTCACGTGAGGACACAGTGAGAAGGTGATCATCTGCAAACCAAGGAGAGAGGCCTCAGGAGAAACCAAACCTGGTGGCACCTTAACCTTGGACTTGCAGCCTCCAGAACTGTGAGAAAATAAGTATTTGTTTACGCCAGCTAGTCTGTGGTATTTTGTTATGGCAGCCCTAGCATATAGATGATAGATAGATAGATAGATAGATAGATAGATAGATAGATACATACATACATACATACATACATACATACATACATACCTAATGTTACTTCATAGGAGAGAAAAAGAATAAAATCAAGCTCTTCACATTCTATGCTCTGTTTTATTATGAGCAAGTCACTTTCTTTTCTGCCTCAATGTCCTCAATTTTAAAATAGAAAAAAAAAAATCCCCTACATCCCAAAAGTAGAGAGAGAAGATGAAAGATAAAATTAAAGGTTGAGAGGATGACGAAAAGCACTGTAAATGAGATCTGGTTTGTTCTTGGGGTAAAACGCTCCAAAAAATATTTATAATTATCATATTTTCTATTGAAACATCTAAGAACCCTTGGTTAATTCTATAACAACATTTTGCCTCAGCTTCCTTCTTCCAAATGATAGAATAATATGAAAGTGCTTTTAAAAATATAAGATTTTCCTCCATTAAAACGGAATTTTAAAAATATTTAGTCTTTCCTTAGGCAGGCTTCATGCAAAGTACTAAAATACATTCAAAATCCACTAGATCTAGGTTCACATTCCAAATCTGACACTTGGTAGAGAGAGATGAAAACATGTGACACAAACCTCTGAACCTCAGTTTCCTCATACGTCATACAGAAATCATAATATCCACTTCATGAGTTGCTAGGACAATTAACTGCAATCTGTATACTTGAAGTCCTGTATACTTAAAGCAGCGGTAGCAGTGGATGTGACATATAACATGTATTCGACAAATATTTGTTCTCCTGCCCCTTCTCCTCTCCATTTGTCCATCACACAGCATGATTTTATCACTCCCCTTCTTAAAATTCAGCAGTGGCTTCCCATTACCTTAGAGGTGAAGTTTGAATTTTCTAGCATGGTATTCCCTGCCCATCTCCTATCACACTCGACAAAGCAACCTGTTCTCCTGGCTCATGCAACTACTGGTGGTTTCCTGAGGAAACCACAGACTTTGGAAGGAGCTATGCTTTTTGCCAAGAACTTTCTTCCCTTGTCTACCTGGTCTACCTGGTAAACTACTACTGCTCCTACAAGTCTCACTTCAAATGCACCACCTGACCTTCTTAGTTAAATTAGGTGTCCCTCCCATCTGTCTTGTGGACGCACATATGCTGTTTTAATCACTGATGTTCTTGAATGTCTAATACATCAGACTGGGAATTTATCAACTGTAGCTTTGGTTGGCTTGTCTCTGAATTCCTAGTACCTAGCACATGGTAGGGACTTAATATGTATAAAAAGGGAAGAAATGTAAGAAGAATGGTAAGAAAAGGTGAAAAGAAGGGAAATAAAAGAAGGACGAAGGAAAGGTAACAAGAGGAAGAAAAGAGAGGGATGAGAGGAAAATGAAAATATTTTGACACTCTAAAAATCCATCACTTCAAAGACTATTTCAAGGAAACATTTTCCTTTACCCATATGAGGCTGATCTGCCTAAATCTCTTCTATGTCAGTAATGCTGTGAAGTTAAGCACTGATGACCTACTAAAACTACAATTTGATGAAAAAGAAAGATTTGAACCAATTTAAGTTAAGTAACTTTAAAAAATAATTTTGCATTGACAAAAACAAAGTAAGAGTATAGGCCAAAAATGCAGTCATGGGTATTAGATTACATATTAGGGAAAATGCCCTGAAGATGGAAATTCTAAAGGTTGAGAAAAGCATCACTATGGGAACTGTTCAAGTCTCTTTATATAGAGAATGTATAGAAAAGCGAAAGATGGAAGGAAGGGAGGAAGGGAGGAAAGAAAGAAGGGAGGGAGGAAGGGAGGAGGGAAGGAAGGAAGGAAGGAAGGAAGGAAGGAAGGAAAGAAGGAAGGAAGGAGGGAAGGAAGGAAGGAAAGAAGGAAGGAAGACACAGATACACAAAATATGTAGAGATAAGATAATTCTGGAGGTTATTGGAACGAAGACCTGCCCCTGTGTTTTGTTTTTCAGGCAAAATTATATCTTTGATAATCTTTTTCCCTATGATCAAATAATTATGAATTATATCATGAACTATGATGATGATTATTAATTCATCCTTTCAAACAAATTTCAAAAATTGAAAACCTTTATACCTCATTCACTGAATGCCCTAGTTTTTTTCTCAACTCAATACCTAATGAAGTTTGAAGTCATGATACTTCACATTCAGCAACTGTAGAGCATTTAAAAGAATAGGTTCTTCAAAATAAAAGCTGGGACATTAGCGAATCACAACACAAACACTCCTGTTGCAATTTTAGGTTTTCTCTGTGCCTCCACCTCTGGCCATGTCTTTTGGGTAAACCAAATGAAGTGCTTCAGTTACAGGGGGTAAGAGCTGCAAGTTCGTAATAAAACATTACTCAAAGAGGAACGATAAGAAGAATAAAAGGATAAACTAAGCAGGACTTCCTTATGCCAGGGACTCATAATATCTTTTATGGTGAAAATGTTCCAATGTTCTTGGAAAGGATACTCCCCTCTGATGTCCCAGTCAGCCAACCTCTCAGTGCTTTCTAGCATCTGACCTTGCCTCAGGCAAAACATTTTCCTGGTATAATTCTCTTGCCGAGCCTTAGAGAGCTCTGCAGAGCCTGGCATTCAGAAATGCCAAAAGCAAGCCTAAGCTTTCCAATCATTGCATCTTTAACTTTAAAGGACATGGAATTACTGCAAAGTTACCAAGAAGCATAATTTCTAAGCAAACTGCTTATAGTGGGGGAGGAAAATTCTCAACACACCCTTTTGAAACAATTATTTGCAGCATATTCAGAATTTCTGCTGGTTCTCTCATTATGAAGGTTTTGCCCATTTACATGTGAACTATAAACAGACTGACAGATGGAATTCTTTTGTATAAACAATTTCAGATACACTACTCCTCCATGGCTGTGTCAGTTGTTTACAGTATCAAAAAGCCACAGATATGCCTAACGGTAAAGAAAGCCTGTATTTCTGCCAAACGTTTGCACAACATTCATTTGTAGTTTGTACCTGGTGCTCAAAGTGTTACTGATGAAACACAGTTTCTCAAGTGCATTTGTGAGCAATGTGTCAATGAGACTCCCCCAGGAATTTTCTCAGAGCATCCCACTTTCAAAGTAGTTCATATATTTGTGAAGAGGTCACAGAGATAGCAACACCAATGTAGAAGCAAGTTGGGGAATGAGTGGACCTAGGAGAAATCCAACAGTGTAAAAGCAGTGAGTGTTCCATTACACCTTCTCACAGGTTCATTCCCTTGGGCTTAGTGCACTTTCTCCAAGGCAAAGGATTCATTTCTCTTCTTTCCTGTGACCCAAACTCAGGAGTCTTGGGAAGCTTATTGCAGACATTTCCATCCATTTTAGAGTTCTCTCCCTCATCCTTTTCGGCCATGTAAGTACTTAATTCATAATTCCTCATAAAAGTGATCCTCTTTCTTGGCTATTTGAGTTTTGGGAATCTTCTTTTCATTTTCCTTTTTGTAATGTCCTACCCTCCCACCCTAAAGTTTAGCTTTTCTGCAGAAATGTTTGGTTTTATAAGCTATGCCTATTGCTCTCTGAATCAGTAAAACTGAGACAGTCTACCTTGATATATCCATGTTAGGTACAAAATCTGTTTGTTACAGCTTTGTTGAATTAAAATTCACATGCAATACAATTCATATATTTAAATGTACAATTCAATGTTTTTAGTATATATATTCATCACAATCAATTTATTTATTTATTTATTTATTTGAGACAGGGTCTTGCTCTGTCACCAGGCTGGAGTGCAGTGGCATGATCATGACTGACTGCAGCCTCTACCTTCTGGGCTCAAGAGATCCTCCACCTCAGCCTCCTGAGTAGCTGAGACCACAGTTATGTGCCAACATGCCTAGCTAATTTTTAAATTTTTTGCAGAGATAGGATCTCACTGTGCTGTCCAGGATGATCTCAAACTCCTGGCCTCAAGCGATCCTCTTGCCTCAGCCTCCCAAAATACTGGAATTAACAGGCGTGAGCCACCATGCCAAGCCCATAATCAATTTTAGAACATTTTCATTATCCCTTAATGAGACCTTGGCTCCATTAGCAGTCACTTCTTCTTCTGCCCTCTCCCACCCCCAACCAGCCCAGCCCTAGGCAACCACCATTCATCTACTTTCTGTCACTGTAGATTTCCCTACCCTGGACATTCATATAAATGGAATCATACAGTATGTGGTCTTTTGTGAGTTGCCTCTTTCACTTAACATATTTCCAAGGTTCACCCATGTTATGACATGTCATAATTTCCTTTCTGTTTATTGACAAATAATATGTCATTGTATATATATGACATCATGTTTATCCATTCATCGGTTGATAGACATTTGGGTTGTTCATACTTTTGGCTATTATAAATAACACTGCTATGAACACATGTGTGCCAGTTTTTGTGTGGATATATGTTTTCATTTATCTTGGGTGCATTGATAAGAGTGGAATTGCTGGGTCCTATAGTAGCTCCATGATTACTCTTTTGAAGTACTGCCAAACTGGTTCCCAAAGTGGCTGCACCAATACACATTCCCACCAGCAATACATGAGGGGTTCCAATGTCTCTACATTCTTACCAACACATGGTATTATTTGTGTTTTTTGTACAACCATCCTAGTAAGTGTAAAATGATATCTCATTGTGGTTTTGGTTTGCGTTTTCCTAATGGCTAATGATTGAGCATCTTTTTATATATTTATTGGCCATTCATATATCATTCTTGGAGGAATAGCTGTCATATTTTTGCCCATTTTTAAATTGATTTATCTTTTCATCACTATCTATTATGTTCTTTCACTTAATATAATGTTTTCAAGGTTCACCTATGTTATACATGTGTCAGAATTTCCTTCCGTTTGTAATATAAGTTTTCACATTATGAATTCTTGTATTAGTTCTTATATTAGAACTGAGTTGTATTCTAATTGAGTTCTTATATTAAAAAGAATCGAGTTGTAAGAGTTGTCTTTTCACTTTCTTGATAGTGTCATTTATAGCACAAAAGTTTTAATTTTGATGAAGTCAAAGACTCTATCTACCTAACCCAACCAAGCTCATGAAAATTTACTCCAATATTTTTATCTAAGAGTTTTATAGGTTTAGTGCTTACATCTAAATTTATGATTCATTTTAGTTAATTTTTGTATATGATGAGATCCAACTTCATTCTTTTCCATGTGGATATCAAGTTGCCCCAACACTGTTTGTTGAAAAGATGATTCTTTATCCTGTTGAATAGTTTTGGCACCCTAGTCAAAAATCATAAATATAAGGGTTTAGTTCTAGATTCTCAATTCTATTCCATTGACCTGGATGTCTATTTTTATGTCAATACCACACTGCCTTGATTACTGTAGCTTTCTAGGAGGTAAATCAGTAAGAATGGGTCCTCTAACTTTGTTTTAGCTATTCTAGGTCTCTTGCATTTCTATATAAATTTTAGGATCAACTTGTCAGTTTCTGAAAAAAAAAAAAAAAGCTAGCCAGAATTTTGATAGGCATTAATTTCATCTGTACTTCAATATGGCAAATATTGCTATTGTCAGGGCTCAGAACATGATACTCCAAAGTATGTGCCTTGGTATGCCAAGTGCTTTGAACTGAAAAATATTGGAAGAGCCTCAGAAGTAAAATGTCTGTGACCTTCTCCCATCCTTCTGTCTCTTGCCCCTCTTTCTTCCCTGAAGCCACTCACAGAAACCAGAATTCCTCTTCCCCAAGGCAAGTCACAGAAAATAGAACTCTCCTCCAAAGCAAGCCATAAAACCTAGAAAGGTCATTCTTTCCCTTCTCCCTTGAAGACCCTCATTTCACAGGAGTCCTGTCCCATACCCAGGAGTAAGGAATACTACACAGAGCAACCATGAGGGATTTGAACAGACAGGTCTTGCTGAGTTTCCCCTCAGTCTATTGCCATTAGATATACTCTTTTGTCCAATCACATTTCTACATGGCTGTCCATTCATTATCAAACCTAAGCATAAAAGTAGTTTTCCCTGTGTCTTTGACTCTTCATATCTGAAGCCTCCTGTGTCATGTAAAATGTTTAGTAAGTAAATTAGTTATGCTTTTCTCTTTTTAATCCATCTTTTGTTACATGTTGGCTGTGACCCTTCTGAACTGTCCTTACACAACATTAATATTAAATATTTCAATCCATGAACATAGGATGTCTTTCCATTTATTTAGATATTTGATTTCTTTCAACAATGTTTTGTAGTTATTAGAATACAAGTTTTGCACTTCTTTTATTAAATTTCTACCTAAGTATTTTATTCTTTTTGCTGACATTATAAATGAAATTTTTTTCTAATATCATTTTCAGAATGTTTATTGCTAGTATACTGAAATATAATTGATTTTAAAATAGTAATCTTGTACCTTGCAGCCTTGTTGAGTTTTTTTTATTAGTTTCATTAGGTTGTTCTTTTTAATTCCTTAGGATGCTCTTTACATAAGAACATGTTCTCTGCAAATAAAGATCATCTTACTTCTCCCTTTTCCATTTAAATGCCTTTTATGTATTTCCTTTTTAAATCATCTTTGCTAGATCTTCCAGTACTATTGAACAGAAATGACAAGAGCAGATATCCTTGTCACATTCCTGATATTAGGGGTGAAAGCATGCAACCTTTCACCATTAAGTATGATGTTAACTGTGGGCTTTTTGTAGATGCTCTTTATCAGGTTTAGGAAGTTCCCTTCTATTCCTAGTTTGCTAAGTGTTTTATCAGGAATAGGTGTTGGGTATATACTTATTCTTTAAGCTTCACTGGCATTTCTATGAAAAAGTTAAAAAAGAACATTTATATTTCAGTATAAAGCCATGACATAGCAACTATTTTCAAGCCTACACATCTTATAGGTCTTTTTTGTTTCTGATTTCTAAGATTTTTTTCATGATAATGTATGAATTTTCATGATGATGTATGTATGGTAAAAACCATACCACTGTAGCATCTTAACATCTAAGAACTTATATTACAAAACCTTCAACAAAGTGGATGCCTCATCAAAATTCAAAGAGGAAAATAAAAATAATGAACCCCCTACACACACAAGAAAAGTTTATATGATCAAGAATCCAAAAGGTAAGATTCATTTGGGGGAAATAGAAGCTAAATTATATGTGAGACGGAAGCACTTAGAATTATTATAGATTTAGAGTTGCACTGTACAAAATGGTAGCCACTAGCCACCTTTGAACCCTTAAAATGTGGCTAGTGTAACTCAGGAACTGAATTTTAACTTAATTTCACTTCAGTTAGTTAAAATTTAAATTTAAAAACAAACACTCCAATTTACTGGACAACTTTTAAATATGTTCTGAACAACTTGGCCTATAAATCTACTTCAGCATTAAAGTTTATGAAATCCAAATACAGATCAAGTACTGTATTTCTGATTAATATACAGTGTCTGAACTGGGATGTACTGTAAGTATAAAACACACCAGATTTTCAAGGTTTCATAGAAAAAAAGAATTTAACTACACCATTAATAATGTTTAATATTGATTACATGTTGAACTGAAAATTTGGATATATTAAATATTATTAACATTACTTTACATGTGTCTTTTTACTTTTTTAATGGGGCTACTAGAAAACTTAAAAGAACATGTGTCACTCACATTTAATTTCTATTGAACAGGGCTAATTTAGAGGGTAGTACATTCCCAGGCACAGGTGAAAGTTTATAAATAATTAAATAAGAATTCTCTCCATGGCAATCTCATAGCCAAAGTAAACTTACATAGTGCTTTTGAAACGCTCTGGCAAAAGTAGCCCATATTAAGAAAGAGAGGTAATACTGGCTTCCTTATCCAGTCTAGGGTGAAACCACACTCAGTAGAGTCCATTCAGGCTTTGAGGACCTCACAGTGAGAGAGATGCACTGTGTGTAGAGTTCAGAGCAAGTCAAAAGGAATTACTGAATGGCCAGAAGGTTGACATATGAGGAGAGGAAAAATAAAAGAGTGAAATTCAAGGAAAGACTAAAGACGGTATAATTGTCTATAAAAGGCAGAGGGGAATTCGTTGGCTTAACAAAAAGGGTTGTAACTACAAGTAATGGGATAAAAGTAAGAAAGGAAAATTTACGCTTGAGACACTTCAAGTTGAGCAACAACTAGAAAGGGCACAGAGTGTTGGGAGGCTGATCCAGGTTTGACAGAGGAATGGAGGACTTGACCTAGGGGGCAGTCTTTCCACCTCTGGTTTCTAAAATTCTTTCCTGGTGGTGTATTAATCTGATGGGGGTGGGTGTGGCAGGCAATGGAGGGGTGGGGAAAACAAATTGGAGGGCAATTTCACTCCACACCTTACTGACATAGTGATTGACTCCCGGCTCCTCCGTCTTCCTTGAGCATTATTTTGGTTCTTTTTTATTCTGAGTTGGTGTGTGCCCCGTCTTGGGAACCTCTATGGCAGCCATTTGATACTCATGTATTTCTATACAAAAACTTCACCGTGAAGAGTGTGTCACAAGGCACATCTGCTAAATGACTGGGAGGGCTTGGGGGAGCGCCACAGGTACCTGCTTGTTACTGCGTTTCTTTCCCACTGCTTTCCTTGTGAAACAGAAGTAGAAAGAGCCAAGCTCAGCCCTGAAGATTGAAAACAGATTGACATTCACATGCATGCACCAAACCCATTTCTTTCTCAACAGGCTTCCACATACAGGGCAGTCTCCTCACGATTACTAAAATCATTCTCATCTACAAAGACAAGACATCTCACAATTGCTACATACGAGACACTATTTGCAAAGACATGATAGATCACCAAGTTAAAACTACGTTATAAACAAAGACCATCAATCTGCAAACATCACTTTGGCAACCTTTGTGATAATCTCACCTATGCTCCCATAAAAAGTTACCAAAAAAACAATGTTTCCAAAATTAATAGAAGGGAAATAAACATTTCACTTGCATTAATTCAAGTACACTGTATTAGAAAGAAACTTTTCATTATCAAGAGTATATGTAGGGTGGGAGGAGGATACCACATCCCTTTTTTTCTCACTTCATATAATTTCCTTAAAATCAAGAATAGAAGGTAATGATACTTCACTCCTCTTGTACACACATCTCTAGCAGTTTCCCTTTGGTTCCGGTTTGTTGTTGTTGTTGCTGTTGTTTTGTCCCTTGACCAACCCAAGTACTTAACTTCTGGTGTGAAAATTTCTTAAATGTAAAATGTCAGTAGGTTTGCTCTCATTGTCAAAAATTGTCACACATGTTGGACTCTATTTATAGTACTTTTATTAAGATCATGGGTTAGAGAATCAAAGTGCCAGGGTTCAAATTCTGGATCTCCCACTTAAGAAGCATATGACTCTGGGCAAATTACTTTCTCCTATGAGCTGCTCCCTTATTATTAAACTGGGTATAGTATTTTAGAAGAAAATTTTTTCTCATTGCTTGGAGAAGTACATGAGCTAAAATACATAAAACTCTTTGTATAGTACCTGGCACATATTCTTTGTTGTTATTGTAGCTATTGCTGTTGTCATTGTTATGATAAATTCCACAGTTACCATTGACATAGCACCAGATAGCTACTGGGGAAACAGAGTCATTAAAACAACTGGGAGCAGAAATTTAAAAAGATTCAGTTCTCCATAGGAGAGTAACAGATTGCCTTACCTGCCAAACACATATTAGAGCACATACTCCATTCTTTATTCAGCAGAACGACTCTTGAACCTTACAATCAAATGGCTTGGATGAATATATTTGAAACAGCCATTGGATAATTCTGCTAAGGCTAAACTGGGATAAATTATTAGCATGGCCCTGGAACTGTGCTTCATTGTGCAATCAAGAAATTCTGTATGGTATTACTTTTCATATGAAAAAAAAATCAAAAACTAGAACCAGAAAACATTTGGATTTTTTTTTTTTTAGTCCATGGCCAGATCTTACAACATCAGTGATATAAACCAGGCATAGAATATGAATTCAACTAGGCCTCTAATATTTCTGCATTACTTGCTTACAGGGAACAATGCAGTCACTGGCTGTTGCTGAAACTCTGTAGCATGTGAAGGCTAAAGGGCTGTGCTAGATAACTAGAGTCTCACTTTCACAAAATTTCTCTGGCCTCCTGAATGTTGGAATAACTTAGTGCTACAGTGCTTGAGTCTTCCATGCCAAAAGTAAAAAATAAAATGTTAAATTTAATAAGTTCAGAGACTAAAATCAAAGCCACATTTACTGCCAAAGAAACCAACTAACAACAATATGAAGCAAGAAGAGAGAAATGTATATTCACCCTGGTTTAAATTTCCAAGAAAATGATAGCAGAAGAAAGAATTATGTATATATGTATACTGTGAGCTGGAGCCTTCTTTCCAAAAGTCTTGAAGAAAGTACACACAGGACTTCATAAGTCCATTATGAACTGATTTTCTAAATGGCTGCAATTCTAGCAGCACTGCCTTCCCTGAAAGAGGAAGCTGTTGATTTGCATCTCCTATGCTGCCTTTTCTAAAGAGTCATTAAGTGATGTAGCGCAGCTACAAACAAGTACCTGGAAAGGATGGGATCAAGGCAGTGGTACAAAGCTTTGTCCCAGCAATCTGAATGCAGGTGTGAGAGACACAAACCAGGTGGCTAAAAGGCTTCTTTGTTTGAAGCTGTCAGTAGGAGGACCTGATTAATCTCATGCCCCATCCCTAAACTCCCTTTTAACTATGTCAAGACATCTCCTCACATCAGGAAGTCTACAATGACATGGCTATGTGCTAAGCTCAGTTAATGTGGTCCTAGGTTTAAACACTTCAGGTTGAAAGTGGATAATTGGTGGTAGTGGATTTTAAAAGCTCACACAGGTGCCTTTGAAAAGAGGTCAAAAGTCAAGTGCATCTCTCCTGAGAGCACTGACGCGCCCTTCCTAAGGAGATCAAAATTCTTTTACACAAACCCCCAGGGTCTTGTAAGAACTGTTATTAATTTAGTTCTGTATGTTCCAAATAAGGGAAAAACGATACCACATGTTATATTACCAGTAACTGGGCATATTTGTTCCAGAGAGGTAGATGTTAGATAGATTTTCACCTGGCACTTCTGGATCGCTAATGAAGTAATCCACTTTCTACCAGGGCAAAACTGGGGAGTTCAGGTCAGGGTAATGAACCTTGAAAACAGTGAAAAGCCTGAGGGAAAAAGGAGTATAAACATAGGAATGTGTTGTCATATACTGAATGTGTTTGTAAAACCAAGGCTGTGGAGTTTTAACTAGAGCACATAAAAAACAGACATTGCTGTGTACATTTGGATGTTTAAAAAAGAGTGTTGTTAAGTATGTTGTCACCTTTTTATTAATATAAATTATAAAGTTTCATTATCATAACATGTTTTAGATGTTTTCAAAAGCACCCAAACACCCCAACCATTAATTGGTACATGTCAAGTATCACTTGGGAAGAGTTTTCTAGTTCAATTTGGAGGTCTTCCACTGTTCCTCTTTTCTTAGTCTTTTCCTCCACTTGTTAGATATTTTTATTCATTGTGTCTACTATTCTATTATACTGGAGATGTATTATTTAAACAGGAACATAATTAAGAAATTCTATGTTTTTGCATATATCCAATGAAAACATTTAATTTTATATCTTTTGTATCTGCATATAAGAAGTTACAATAACATACTAGTAATTTAGAAAAAAGCCTTAGTAAACTCTCATTAGGAGGTCTATCATGAGAAAAAAACAAACGGAAAATAACAAGTGTCTGTGAGGATGTGAGGAAATGGAAACCCTTCTGCACCGCTATTCAGAATGTTAAAAAATGGTGTAGTCACTACAGAAAACGGTATGGTGGTGCCTCAAAAATTAAAAATAGAATTACCATATGATCCCGCAATTCTCCTCTGGATGAATACCCAAAAGAACTGAAAGCAGGGACTGGAACAGATATTTGTACACCCATGTTTATAACAGCATTATTCACAATAGCCAAAAGGTGGAAGCAAGCCAAGTGTCCATTGACAGATGAATAAATAAAAGGTGGTATATACATACAACAGAATATTATTATAAAAATAATGTTATTATAAAAAGGAAAGAAATTCTGACTTATGTTACTGGATTACCTTTAAAGGCACTAAGCTAAGTGAAATAAGCCAGACACCAAAGGACAAATACTATATGATTCCACTTACACGAAGTACCTAGAGGAGTTATATTTATAGAGACAGAAAGTAGAATACTGGTTGTCAGGGGCTGTAGGGAGATGGGGGAATGAGGAGCTATTGTTTAAGGGGTACAAAGTTTCAGTTCAAGAAGATGAAAAAGTTCTGGAGGTGGATGGTGGTGATGGTTGCACAACAGTGTGAATGTACTTAATGCCACTGAACTGTACACCTTAAAATGATTAAGACGGTGAATTTTACATTATGTATATTTTACTACGGTAATTTTTTTAATGAAAAATCCTTCATATGTTCATTTGTGCTCCGGAATTGGGGTCTGGATTAGGCACGCTTGCTTGATTGCACTTAACAATCTGATGCACTGTTACTAATGAAAAGAAAATGTGTTTCTTTCAAGATCTCAAAGAATCCAACTTGCTTGAGCAAACAGATAAAAACAAGGGTGTAGCTGACATTTTTTAATTGGTACACAAATTCTTGGACTCGCCCACTCTGTACTTATAATTAGAAAAGAATGTCACTAAAATTTTTAATGAAAATCACAGGTTTGTTATAGTAGTTTTGCCACAAAATCATGGTCTCGCTTAAGAAATGGGGAAAGAAGAGGAAAAAATTCTTTCAGAAATAACACTTTAATTCAAATTTAATGTTAAACACACATAGCACGTAGGAAAACAAACTTAATAGCATAAAAAGTAATATGACATTTGATTAACTGGTGTTAAACTGAACGTGTTAATTGTAGAGAAGAAAGACTTGCCAAGGCATGTTAGAAGCTAAGCTTCCAATTGGAACTCAGAATACAAAGGAAATGGCTCTAAGATCTGAGTAACTGCTTTAACATTTACACAAGTCAAAAAAAATTCCAATCTCAAATCCCAAGAACATAAGTCTATTTATTCTATCTAAAGTGTTAACAGAGGACAGATCAATTAACAGCATGTAACATTTTTTGAGAAGACCTCAAAATCCCTTAACTTGCCAATAATAATTTAAAGACTCAGTGGTGTTTAAAGTTAGGAAAAGGATTCAGTCTCTACCAAAAGGGAGATTGCCCTTGGAGAGCTCACTAAAGACTTTGGTTAACCAAGGAGCTATAAAACCCAATGTTCTTATTATTACTCACATATCTTTCACTGTTGATAGATCACAGTGGTTCACTTGGATTGTTTACAATTAGTAGTATCCTCTGGTAGAACTTCATCAACAGGGAGAAAGTTACAGATTCCATTTCTCTCTGTCCTCACGTTTCTGGCCAATTTTCATCTACCAGTAAAATCATCATCATTTTCATCATAGAGATTGGGTAGTCATGCTTCATTTCTACTGTCTTTTAATCAGTTCCATGGTTGAAACCTTTCTTAAAGAAAGACACACACACACACACACACACACACACACACACACACACACACACGAAACCTTAGTAAAATTAGGGACCACAGAGGTTTAAGTTTTTAGTAGAACTAAAGTTTTAGGAGTGCTAGTCATTATCCTTAATAAGCATTATTGGGCCATAAGTTGCTAACTGAGATACTAACAATTATTTTTCCCTAGTTTTGACATTGGCTGCATAAAAACCCACTGGATTATAAACTTCGTGAAGTTAGCGACCACACCTTCAATGTTCACAAATAAATCCTCAGCCCTTAGCACAGTGTTGGTCCACGTTAGGCACTCAATACAAATATGTGTTGAATGAATGAATAAATGGAAAAATAAAAACAAGTGACATATTGACAGCCATTGGAAACAACACCATTTTAATGCCCAACAACATTCCAAGTGATTTACATAGAATAAGTCACTCAATCTTCAAAACAGTCATATGGAGTAGTCCTATTATTACTGTATTCCCATTGTACAGTTTTAAAAAGCGAAGCACAGAAAGACATACAGCTTAAGTGATGGAGTTGAGAACCAGGGAGTCCAGCTTCGGTCTACACTCTTACCGTCATCCATTACACAAAAATAAACTAGGATTGATGATGTAAAAAGTAACAGGAACTGTAACTCTCTCATCTGTAAACATAGACCTTGAATTTATAACATTTTTAAAATACTAAGGTGGGTCATTTCAATCAGAAATGCTCATATAATAAGCATGACAATGAAATTACCAGCAGAAAAAAAAATGGCTGTTTCTTAATGTGTTGGCCAAAGCAATGATTTTTAAAATCACTTCCTCAGAACTACCAAATATTAGAAAGAGAAGCCAAGAGGGCCATCTCTTTCTGCTCTTTACCCTTTGCAAGTATTTATAACAGTAACTGGCTAGGAGTAAGTGTTAAATAAATATTGTTGCTTTCACACAAAGCCCTTCTTTGTGATACCAATATCTGGTCACAATGTTTAATACTTCAACTCCCTCAAATATTCCAGGGATGGCCAGGTCCATTGCAAGCAACCGTAATATCAGAAAACTACTTGTCAGATTGAAATAAAATACTAATTGATATTATCCCTGCCCACTGGTGGCAATTTAGAACAACTTTTCTATAAAATTCTCTTTGGTAAAACAGCATTCAGGTATTTGAAGATAGAATCGTGTTCCCTTAAGTATTCATCTAACATTCTCAGGTTCATTAACTACTCATTTGGTGCCATGAATTCCAACTGTCTTTACCAGTTCCCTCACCCATTATTCTCTAAGCTTATATTTTTTCTCCAGCTATAATAAGGTCTACTTGGCAAATAAAAATTTCACATATTTAAAAATTACATATATCAGCCAGGCACAGTGGCTCATGCCTGTAATCCTAGCACTTTAGGAGTCTAAGGCAGGTGGATCACTTGATGTCAGGAGTTCGAGACCAGCCTGGCCAACATGGTGAAACCCCATCTCTACTAAAAAAAAAATATAAATTAGCTGGGCATGGTGGCCTGTAGGCCTAGCTACTTGGGAGGCTGAGGCAGGAGAATGGCTTGAACCCAGGAGGCAGAGGTTGCAGTGACCTGACATCATGTCACTGCACTCCAGCCTGGGAGAAAGTGCTGGAGACTAATCTCAAAAAAACAAATTAGTTGTGCATGGTGGTGGGCACTTGTAATCCCAGCTCCTTGGGAGGCTGAGGGAGGAAAATCACTTCAACCTAGGAGGTGGAGGTTGCAGCGAGCCAAGATCGCACCACTGCACTCCAGCCTGGGCAACAGAATGAGACTTCATCTCAAAATAAATAAAATAAATAAATATTGCATATATCAATATGATGTTTTGATGTATGTATACACATATACATAACTACCATAATCAAGCTAATTAACATATCCACCACCTCATATTACTCTGTGTGTGTGTGTGTGATGAAAACACTTAAGATCTACTCCTTTAGCAAATTCCAGGCATACAATATTATTAACTCTAGTTATCATGCTGTACATTTGATCTTCAGAACTTATTTGACTTATAACTGAAAATGTGTATCCTTTGACCAAAATCCTCCCATTTTCCTCATCACTTATCCCCTGGAAACCACCTTTCTACTTTTGGTTTCTACGAGTTCAACTTCTTTAGATTCCGCATATAATTGAGATAATGCAGTATTTGCCTTTCTGTGTCTGGTTTAATTCACTTAGCATAATGTCCTCTAGGTTCATCCATGCTGTTGCAAATTGTAAGATTTCCTTCTTTTCAAAGGCTGAATAATATTCCATTGTATATATCTATATATACCATATTTTTAATTCATCCATGCATTAATTACCAATACTTAGATTGTTTTCATATTGTGGCTATTGTGAATAATGCTGCAATGAACATATCTATTGGAGATACTGAATTCATTTCCTTTGGCTATATATCCAGAAATGGGATAACTAGATCATATGGTAGTTCTATTTTTGTTCTTTGAGAAACCTCCATACTGTTTTCCATAATGGCTATACCAGTATACAATCCTACCCACAGTGTATAAAGGTTCCCTTTGCTCCACAACTTCACCAAAACTTATCATTTAGTTTTTTGGTAATAGCCATCTTAACAGGTATGAGGCAATATCTCATGGAATGTCTTGTATGTCTTCTTTGAGAAAATGTCTGTTCAGGTCTTTTGTCTATTGTAAAACAGGATTATTTGTATTTTTAGTACTGAGTTATATGAGTTCCTTATATTGGAATATCCTTATTTTAGATATTAGCCCACTATCAAATATGTAATTTAGCAAATGTTTTTCCCATTCCATGGGTTGCCTTTTCATTTTGTTGATTGTTTCCCTTGCTGTGCAGAAAAATTTTAGTTTTATGTGGTCTCACTTGCATATTTCTGCTTTTGTTGCCTGTCCTTTTAGAGTCATATTCATAAAATCATTATCAAGACAAATGTCAAGGAGCTCTTCTTCTATGTTTTTTTCTGGGTCTTACATTTAGGTCTTTAAACCATTTTGAGTTGATTTTTGTTTATGGTGAAAGAGAAAATGCAGTTTCATTCTTTTACATGTGGATATCTAGTTTTCCCAACACCATTTATTGAAGAGAATATCTTTTCCCCATTGTGTGTTCTTGGCATCTTTGTCAAAGATTACCACTGCACATGGGTGAGTTTACTTCTGGGCTCTCTGTTCTGTTTCACTGCTCTATATGTCTGTTTTTAATGCCAGTACCATATTGGTTTGGCTATATTAGCTTTGTTGTATATTTTGAAGTCAAGTAATGTAATGCTTCCAGGTTTGTTCTTCTTTTTCAAGATTGCTTTGACTATCTAGGGTCTTTTGTGGTTCTATACGAATTTAGGAATTTTATTCTATTTCTGTGAAAAATGTCATTGGAATTTTGATAAAGGTTGCATTAAATTTGTAGGTCACTTTGGGTAGTATGGATATTTTAACAATTTTAATTCTTCCAATCCATGAACACAGGATATCTTTCCACTTATATGTGTCTTATTCAGTATATTTCATCAATGCTTTATAATTTTCAGTGTATGTAAGTTTTTCACCTTTTTGGCTAAATAAACTCCTAAGTATTTTATTTTTTGCTGCTATTGTAAATTGAATTGTTTCTCACATTTCTTTTTCAGATAGTCTGTTAGTGTATAGAAATACAACTAATTTTTGTGTGTTTATTTTGTATCCTGCAAATTTACTGAATTTGTTTATTGGCTCTAACCATTTTTTGGTGGAGTCTTTAGGGTTTCCTATATACAAAATTATGTCTTCTCCAAAAAGAGACAATTTTACTTCTTCTTTTCTGATTTGGATTTTATCCTTATATTTCTTTTATTTCTTCTTGCCTAACTGCTCTGGCTAGAACTTCCAGTACTATGTTAAATAGAAATGGCAAAAGTGGTCATTCTTGTCTTGTTCTTCATCTTCAAAGAAAAGCTTTTAGCTTCCCACCTGTTGAGTATGATGTTAGTTGTGGGCTTGTCATATATGGCCTTTATTATGTTGAGGTATGTTTCTTCTATACCTAATTTGTTGAGAGTTTTTATCATTAAGGGATATTGAATACAGTCAAGTGGTGAGGGTTTTTTACAACTATCGAGATGATCATATGGTTTTTATCTTTCATTGTGTTAAATGTAGTATATCACATTTATTGATTTACATATTTTGAATCATCCTTGCATTCCAGGAATAAATCTTACTTGATCATGGTGCTTGATCCTTTTAATGTGCTGTTGAATTCAATTTACTATTTTATTGAGGATTCTCTAATCTATGTTCATGAGATATATCGGCCTATAGTTTTCTTTTTTTGTAGTGTCCTTGTCTGGCTTTGGTAGTAGGATAATGACGGTCTCACGAAATGAGCTTGGAAGTGTTCCCTGCTCAATTTGTTTAAAGGGTTTGAGAAGGATTGGTATGTTTTTACCAGTTTAAATGGCTTATTCTGGATACAATCTAATTGGTCACAATGCCTCCTAAATTATGGAGTCTAAATTGGACATATTATTGCAGCTGTGATCTGACCAAGACAGCTTTTTGAGGAATTATTAGGTCCCATGATCTGGAAACTATTTCTATTAATGTGGCCCATTATTGTGCTAGCCATTTCTATGTTTGCATCATACAGTTGGTTCATGATAAAATGGAGGTCATCTAAAATCCTAATTCATCATGTGACCTTTAACGTGCTTGTGAAATTCATATTTTGACCTTGCTTTATTTTACTTTTATTAAGTTAAATTTCATCTGTCTATTTCAGTCTGAAGTTTGAGATAATTTTGTATTTTAATTCTATTGTTAAATGTGGATTTTACAATAAAGAGAATAAAAGTTAAGCTTTCAGGACCCCTCACTTACACTGACACCTTCTAAGACCCTGGGAGGGGCTCTAACAATGTGTCTACATGGTTGTAAGTTTTTGTAGAATTAGCATAAGTAAGATATTTTAACTATAATCAGTTCTTGATCTTCTGCTTCATCTTCCCCTCGATCACATGTGTCCTAAAGCATCCAGCACACAAGTATGTGGGACTGAAGGAAAAACAAGATGTGAAATATATAAAGCCAAAAATTAATTCTTTCAAATCTTACAGCTTTCGTATGAAAGAAACTCATAGAAATTTTTCCAAATTTGACAACTATTCTAAAAAGTCACATGGCATTACCAAAACAAATTTTAATTAACCATTCTAGAGATAGGACAATTATCTTTACATTCTCTCTGACATTTCAAAACTATTCTCATATAAAGAGACCATCAAAGAGTAAGCATCCAAAAAAACAAAGGAAAAAAAGGTATTACAAAGATATGTACAAAAATTACAAATTGTTGTTATTTTCATAGCTATTACAGTGTTTGTGTCAGCTTTTTAGATTTGCAATTTGCTATATGTTTTCTTTTTCTAAATAAATAGATTACAGATCTTAAATACTGATAAATGCTCCAGACATCATGCCTTTACAACATTCTGTAATAGGTAAATAAGTGTGTGGTTTGTTAGTGTTAAAAGAATGGAATAATTACTGCAAAGAATGCTGAAATTGATCACTTTTATTTTCTATACACATGCCAACTTTGTTCATTAAGGTAACAATAAAACACGTAATCATATTACCAAATGATATTAGACCATTATATCTCTCATAATATACAAGCGGCACCCGTGAAGGTATGCAAGATATGTGCACTTAGAGTGCAAGTACAGTTACTTTTTAGCTGGTTGAACAACTCAACTTGGTGTCAACCTGGTGAGAGTCTCCAGGAGTGTGCCTCAGGCTCTTTCAATAACATAGTGAATAAAATATATGATCATAGGCAGGAATGAATCTAGGTTGTATAGGGCCTGAAGTTTACACAATTGGAGGGTAAGGGAAGCGATTTCTTTATAGAAATAATACAAAATTACAGTTATAAAATTTGTTATAAATATATACTTAGAATGAAAAAGAAATCACCACAACTTAAAAATTTTAAAAAGTTGACATTCCACAAATGTCACAAAATTCAGAAAAAAATAACACACTTTTATCAGTTCCCTTCTGGGACCACCTTTATGTCTTTTTTTTTTTTTTTCCTATTTTTGGCTTCATCCTCTTTGAGGGCATATTTATGTTTTTTGTGTCTACATAAAATTTTCTTCATATAGTAATTGATTGATTAGGAAATATGTAATAAAACCTCATTAAACTGTAATAAGGGGCAGACTAGTCTAAGTCAAAAATTTGAATTATAGAATTCTTAAAATTATATGAATTTCAAATACTCATCAATTCATATGACTGCCTATGGCAGAGATAAAAAAATGTATAACTTACAAGCAAAATTAGAATTTATAACAAGGCTACATCATATTATAATGTATATAAGTATATAATTCCTTTAACATACAAAATTAATAATAAACTCAGAAACTGAGTTTGCTGAGCCATTTACTTTGATTAAAAAAGAAAATTTAAATTTAAATTATTTTTGAATTAATGATATATTTTATGATAGAAATATTGCTAATATTAAAATGAATTATGGTTTTCAATTAGTAGGAGTTTGTTGCATATCTGGATGGGTCAATTACATTTTCTAGTGATCTGATTTAGAAAAAAACTCATTTAATGTGTGATTTCAACAATATAGGATTTAATGGTAAGCCATTTATTAGCATATACTAATTGATTTGATGTACCACTGGATTCATGTGTAATCTAAAATGAAAGTAATTATTCTGAAGTTATCTCTCCATAATAGTATATATAAACCATGAAAATTAACACCCATTCACAAATAATTTCAAAAAAACTTGATCGTACACAGCAGTAAAATAGCCAAAATTCATGTGTAAAATCTGTAACCTGAATATAACTTGAATTATTCGGAGAGCTGATGATTTATAGGAAAACTATTGTGAATTCTTCTGCAAAGCTTCCTCTAAGTATGAAATTTATGTATTTGGGCTGCGCGTGGTGGCTCACGCCTGTAATCCCAGCACTTTGGGAGGCCGAGGCAGGCAGATCACCTGAGGTCAGGAGTTTGAGACCAACCCGGCCAACATGGTGAAACCCCATCTCTACTAAAAATACAAAAATTAGCCAGGCATGGTGGTGCACACCTGTATGCCCAGCTACTTGGAGGGTGGGGTGGCTAAGGCATGAGAATTGCTTGAACCCAGAAGGTGGAGGTTGCAGTGAGCTGAGATCACACCACTGCAGTCCAGCATGGATGACAGAGTGAGACTGTCTCAAAAGAAGAAAATGAAAGAAAAGAAAGAAAGAAAGAAAGAAAGAAAGAAAGAAAGAAAGAAAGAAAGAAAAGAAATTTATGTATTTGTACATTGTATAAAATGAGGCTCATGCCCAGAGCAAGGCAACAAAATTTCGTTGGCACCATCAGCTGCGCTTTATTCTAATACTAATCAAAGACAAGCCAAAATGCCTTGAGAAAGCTGGAGGACCTTGATGCAGTTTTGAAGGCTGTTCTAGGAGAGTGGGAATGGAGGGTTCCATCTTATCTCTTAGAGCTCCTCTGCCCATTCTTCAATCTGGCTATTTCTGGTGATATGTATATGCTTTTTTTTTTTCATTTGCTTACACACTAGAATTTTTCATTATTTTGGTTTAGTAAATGATAGCGTTTGGGTATGTATCCCATCTAAATCTCATGTTGAAATGTAATCCCCAGTGTTGGAGGTAGGGCCGGGTGGGAGATGATTGGATCATGGAAGTGGATCCTTCATGGCTTGGTGCTGTCCTTGCAATAGTGAGTTCTTGCAAGATCTGGTTGTTTGAAAATGTGTGGCACCTCTTCCCACCCTTGCTCCTGCTCTGGCCGTGTGATGTGACTGCTCCCACTTTTCCTTCTGCTATGAATCAAAACTTCCTGAGTCCTCACCAGGGGCTTAGCCAATGTCAGTACCATGCTTCCTGTAGAGCCTACAAAACCATGAGTCAATTAAATTTCTTTGCTTTATAAATTACCCAGCATCAAGTATTTCCATATAGCAATGCAAGAACAGCCTAATAAAATTGGTACCAAGGAGGGGCACATTGCTATAGAGATACCTGAAAATGTGGAAGCAACTTTGGAACTGGGTAATGGGCAGAGGTTGAAAGAGCTTGGAAGCTTGGAGGGCTCAGAAGAAGACAGGAAAATGAGGGAAAGTTTGGAACTTCTTAGAGACTGGTTAAACAATTGTGACCAAAATGCTCATAGTAATATGGACAGTGAAGCCTGAGTTGAGGAGGTCTCAGACAGAAATGAGGAACTTATTGGGAACTGCAAAGGTCACCTGTGTTATGCCTCAGCAAAGAACTTGGCTTCATTGTGCTCATGCCCTAGAGCTCTGTGGAAATTTTAACTTAAGAGTGGTGATTTAGTATATCTGATGAAAGTAAGGACCAAACTCTGATTTTTTTATCTTGCCCAAATTCCTATCTAAGGGGTCTAGGGAGTCATGCCCTACAAATCATAATTTCTTATCAGATGGGTTTTATTTAACCCTGTATATCATGATTTACTTTCCAACCTGACTCTGGCATAACATTACGAGACAAGGAAGAAAATCAAAATATTTTACCCCAAAACATGTTTCTTTACCATATTTTGAAATGGCCCTACAAAGCTATTCTTTGTGGGGGGAAATTTGCATATGTAAAAATCTCTATTAACATAGCTAGATCTTTTTCTTACAAATCCTCCCAATCCTAAAGAGATTAACTAAGAACTCAATAGGAAACATTTGTCATCTATTGTCTCTAAGGGCAGCCACTATAAGACTTCAAAAGAACTTTGGTCTCCACAGTCTTTATCTTAACCTGAACATCCCCTTCCTATCAATCCTAGATCTTTAGACAAACTCAACCAATTGTCACCCAGAAAATGTTTAAATTTACCCACAGCCTGGAAGCACCCCTGCTTTGAATCGTTCCACCTTCCTGGACCAAACCAATGTATTTCTTAAATGTATTTGATTGATGTCTCATGCCTCTCTAAAATGTATAAAACCAAGCTGTGTCCTGAACACATTGGGCACATGTTCTCAGGACCTCCTGAGGGTTGTGTCATGGGCCATCGTCACTCATATTTGGCTTAGAATAAATCTCTTCAAATATTTTACAGAGTTCGACTCTTTTTGTCAACAGAAGAAATTTCTAAGCAGCAAAGCATTCAGGATGTAGCCTGGCTGCCTCTAACAGCCTACATTCAAATGTGAGAGTGAATAAATAACTTAAAGTTGGAATTTATCATTAAAAGAGAAGCAGAGCATAAAAGTTTCGAAAATTTGCAGCCTGGCTATGTGGCAAAGAAAGAAAAAGCTTTTTCAGGGGAATAATCCAAGCAGGCTGGAGAGTAGCCACTTGTTAGAGAGATTTGCATGACTAAAAAAAGAGCCAGGTGCTGATAGCCAAGACAATGGTATCTTCAAGTTAGCCCCTCCCATCACAGGCCCAGAGACCCAGGAGGACTGAATGGCTTCATGGGCCAGCCCTGAGGCATCACTGCCCTGTGCCACTTCAGAAGGCTGTTTCTCTTGTCCTGGCCACTCAGCTCCAGCTGTGGCTCAAAGGGCCCCAGGTATAGTTCAGGCCACTGCTCTGGAGGGCACAAGCCATAAGCTTTGGTGGCTTCATGTGGTATTAAGCCCACAGACATGCAGAGTGCCAGAGTGAAGGAGGCTTCATAGCCTCCAACTAGATATTAGAAAGCCTGGCTGCCCAGACAGAAGCCTGCTGTGGGGGTAGAGGCCTCAAAGAGAACCTCTACTCAGGCAGTGTGGAAGGAAAATATGGAGTTCAAGGCCCCATACAGAGTTCTGAGGCAGTCCTAGTGGTCTGTGGGGAGGGGGCCACCATCCCCCAGACCCCAGAATGGTAGCTCCACCAGCAGTTTTCATCCTGCACCTGGAAAAGCTGTAGGCACTCAACTGCAGCCCATGAAGGCAGCTCCAGGGTCTGGAACCTGTGAAGCCACAGAAGCAGAACTGCCCAAGACCTTGAAAGCCCACCCTTCACACGAGTGTGCCTTGGATGTGGAACATGGTGTCGACGGAGATTATTTTGGAGCTTTAAGATTTAATGACTCCCCTACTGGGTTTCAGACTTACATGAGGCCTGTAGCCCCTTTCTTTTGGCCAATTTATCCCTTTTGGAACAAGAATATTGATGTAGTGCCTGTACTCCCATTGTATCTTGGGAGTAAATAACTTGTTTTGATTTTACAGGCTCATAGGTGGAAGGAATTTATCTCCAGATGAGTCTTTGGACTTGGGACTTGGGACTTTTGAGTTAATGTTGGAACAATTAAGACTTTGGGAGACTATTGGCAGGGGATGATTGTACTTTTTAATGTGAGAGGAACATGTGATTTAAGGGACCAGGGGCAGAATGATATAGTTTGAATATGTGTTTTCTCTAAATCTCATGTTGAAATTTAATCCCCAGTGGTGGAGGTGGGACACGGTGGGAGCGTTTGAGTCATGGGATGGATCCCTCATGGCTTGGTGCTATTCTCACAATAGTCAGTGAGTTCTCATGAGATCTGGTGTTTAAAAGTGTGTGGCACCTCCCCCCAATCCTCTCTTGCTCCTGCTCTAGCCACGTGATGTGTCTGCTCCCACTTTGCCTTCTGCAATGAGTAAAAGCTTCCTGGGGCCTCACCAAAGGGCAAGCAGACACTGGCACCATGCTTCCTGTATGGCCTACAGAACAGTGAGCCAATTAAGCTTCTTTTATTCATAAATTACCGATCCTTAAGCATTTCTTTACAACAATGTGAGAACAGCCTAATACAGTAAATTAGTCAAATCTCTAATTTTGGGTCCCAGCATTATAAAAAGTTGCCACGTGACTCAAACATGAGTCCAGGATTGAGAACCAAGCAGTAGAATAATGAACAAGCCTGTCCAGATCATGCAAGAATGGTAAAGCAGTAGTAAACCAAGGAGAGGGTGCAAGTTCCATCTAAAATGAACAGCTGTGGCTCAGCTCTTAATTATTACCACATAGAATGCGAGTTAATGTTGCTGCATATTTTAATTTTTCAAGAGAAACCAGGTAGGTGTGTGTGTGTGTGCATGTGTGTAAGAGAGAGAAATCTCTTGACTATTAAATGATAGTTCCAAAAATTTTATCAAGTTGTAAAACCAAAAAAAAAAAAAATGCTTAGGGACTGAACTGGGACCTTTGCTATGCACAACATGAGGCTACATCCCAAGTGTTTGAGCTATAGGACCAATGAACATGCCCTGTAGTGGCTGTGGGGTCCTGAGCTTCCTGCCTGAGTGGCGGTCATCTACCAAGGACCAAAAATGAACAAATTAGACATTGAACGTGTGACACACAACAAAAGTAAACATTTCTCCACATCGTCATTTATCCCTTAAAAATATTACCTCATACTACCATTAAAAAAGAAAATGAGTGCTTACTTAAAAACCACATTAAAGTCATTTTGAGAGACATGAGATTACAAAATTCTGTTCTAAGAATGGACACATCAGTGGAACACACTGACAGACACATGAGGGGTGTCCATCAGACTGGATCAAGACTTGCTCTTTTCTTTGATTATCAGCATCAACAAATAAGAAACCATTTCACTCTGAAGAGAAAACAATATTTGATGGAAAAATTATAAAAGTTGCACCAACCAGCTCAAAGACAGTGATTTTCAGCACTATATTTCTTTAATTTCCAAAGATTTTTATAACATTATTGACATGTATATAATGAAATAGCATGGAATAGGCAGTTAGACCATATACCAGAGTATAATAACACATAGAATTGCTCAGAAAATTAAATTATGTAATACAATTTAAAGTGCTTTGCATATAGTAGATATTAAATTAACATTTGGCTTCTTGTTTCAGAAAATAGTACTATATATTCATTTACATTATATAAAATAGCCACTCATTTTATGAAGGATTCTGAGATTACCACTGTTTATTTTTCACTTCTTTACTCTCATATAAGATGTATTAATTTAGTCTGTAACATTATTTGAGCTCTGATTATGTTCAAGCTACTGTGTTCAGAACTGTAGAGATTCAAAGATCAGCATAGGTCCTTCTATTAAGGAATACCTACTCCATTCATTGTATTAATCCAACAACCATTTAATAAGCACCTACTCTGTTCCAGACACTGTTCTGGATCATGAGGACACATCTCTGAATAAAACAAAAACTATTCTGGCTCCCATGGAGCTTACATTATAGTGAAGCTAGGTAGACAATGGACAAAGAAAATTAGGTAGTAATAGGTGCCATAAAAATAGGTGTACAGCAGAGTGATTGGGTGGCTACTTTAGATTAGGTAGCCAGCCTAGAAAGGCCTCTCTAAGAAAATGAGTTAGCCCATAAATGAAGAAAAACAGCCAGTCATGCAGAGGTCTGAGGAAGAGTGTTCCCCACGATGGGATGAGGCTGGCATGTTTCAGGAGCATCAGGAGGGCTCATGGGTGAGTAGATGGCCAAAAGGGAGTGGCATAAATGAATGGAGAAGAATTAAGCAGGCCTATCACACAGAGACTCATAGACCAGAGTAAGGTATGTGAATTTTATCATATTAGGGAAAATAAACACCCAGTTATAATACTAAGGAATATTAAATAAGGGCTATAAAAGCAAACTGCTGTGGAAACCCCAACAAAGGCTGTTGCTTCTGTATGCCTAGAGTGGGGTTCCAAAGGCCTCTGCAGAGATGGATTTGAACTGGGGCTTAGCAAACAAGCAGGATTTAAAATGTAAATAGGCAGAGAAGGATAAAAAGGACATTCTAGGCTGGGAAAACTATACAACAAAGAATGCAGGCATTTAGTGGTATAGGATGGTTGGCATGGGAACCTGGTAAAATGTAGAGGAAGTTAAAGATAAAAACGTAAAATCACAATTGGGAAACAGTCTTTAACACCAGATTGAAGAATGAGGGTCTTGTCCACAGATGCAGAAAGCCACTTAGGAGGTTGTTAGCGTGCAACTTCCTGAAGCAGTAGGGATATATCTCCTTTTATTTTTATTTCATAGTGATGTGTATATTAGAGACATTTCAAAATACCTGTGGATTGGTTAGACACCGAGAGTGAATGAGAATTGCCTTAATGCTCTGTTATTATTACCTGGGCATCTCTACTCCCCACATGCATTTATGTGTTCTAAAACATGTATGGATGATTTCTAGGAAAGCAATCTGGCAACACAAATTAAAATGTCTGAGGCATATATGCTTTGGTCCAGCATTTACACCTTGAGTAATACACAGCCTATAAAAATACTCACACAAGCATAATACACAGCAATTATATATGCAGATAGGAGCTATGGGACTGCTACATTCCACCACTCTGAAGTCCTGGGAGGCACCCCCATACACTCAGATGTCGGAAAAAAAAAAAAAAGCAGGGAGGGATTTAGAAATCAGAAACTGAGAAATTATCCAAAAACACAAGCTCCAAAATGAACTGTTTAAATTGGTATTTTTAAAACTGTAGATCATGATCAATTAATCAGTCATAAAGTCAATCCAGGAGGTCACCACTGACATTGTTTTTAATTTTAAAGTCTAGAATAAAATAAGGGGCTGGGTGCGGTGGCTCATGCCTGTAATCCCAGCACTTTGGGAGGCCAAGGCAGGCGGATCACGAGGTCAGGAGTTCGAGACCAGCCTGGCCAACATGGTGAAACCCTGTCTCTACTAAAAATACAAAAATTAGCCAGGCATGGTGGTGGGTGCCTGTAATCCCAGCTACTCGGGAGGCTGAGGCAGGAGAATCGCTTGAACCCAGGAGGCGGAGGTTGCAGTGAGCCAAGATCGTGCCACTGTACTCCAGCCTGGGCAACAAGAGCGAGACTCCGTCTCGGGAAAAAAACAAAACCAAAAAAATGGAATAAAATAAGACATAAAAGGAAAGTATTCGAGTGAATTGAACGTAGTAAGGGTAAGTATTGTGTTTCATAAACACATCATTTCTGTTTTTTATACTTATATATACACAGGCAATTGTGTACTGGGTGATGATGTAAGATCTGTTTCTTACTGTGGTTCATATTCTTTAAAAGTTGAGAACTGTTACGCGCTGGGTGCGATGGCTCACGCCTCTAATCCCAGCACTTTGGGAGGCTGAGGCAGATGGATCACGAGGTCAGGAGATCGAGACCATCCTGGCTAACATGGTGAAACCCCGTCTCTACTAAAAAATACAAAAAATTAGATGGGCGTGGTGGTGGGTGCCTGTAGTCCTAGCTACTTGGGAGGCTGAGGCAGGAGAATGGCATGAACCTGGTAGGCGGAGCTTGCAGTGAGCCGAGATCGCGCCACTGCACTCCAGCCTGGGTGACAGAGGGAGACTCCGTCTCAAAAAAAAAAAAAAAAAGTTGAGAACTTTAACATTGTTTTTATGGACTAATGTTAAATAAACGTTTTTTTAAAAAATTCATTGATAACAGGTGGGGACTTATTAGGAAACCTGCTCAGTTATAGATGTATGTACACATATGTCATCTGCAGGGCTGTGAAGAGGTTCAAGTGTGCCTGCCAAACAGCTGTGAATACCTCTGTGGAATATGAAAAATGTTACAAAAGGGGAGAATTTTCATTTCATATTTGATATGCTTTATATACTATATACTTTTATATATTTCTGCATTGTAATTTTAAAATATAAAGAAAAAAAGATGTTTAAGAGGTACCTTGCCTGGGCATCTCTACTCCCCACATGGAGTAGATGCTCCCCTGTGGAGCATCCAGTCAATTAACATGAAATGTGACCACATCACATCTTTCAGCCAAAGTCAGTGGGAAAGGAAGGGAAATGAAGCCATGTTTCACCCATGGAAAGTTGGTGGTAAATTGGCAGCAGTGTGAATGACAGAAGTCATTAATGTCCCACCTGATGTATAAAGTGATTTCAGGCAGGTAGGTGTTTGGACAGTCAGATAACATGGCAAAAGAGAATCTGAGAGAAAAAAAAATCTTAGGGGAAAACTTGGCACTAGAAAGTAGACTTGAAAAGTGGGAGAAGGCTGTGACTCAGGTGAAAAGTAGGAGCTGTAGCCAAGCTCTGAGGATGTTCATCTAATGGCCAGATGGCCCAGAACCATTAGCATTATGGCATTATGAAGAAAAGAGCCTCTGCCTAGAGCTCCAAGACATGGAGGGCTAGTGACCATATAACAAAGGCCAGCCACCAGACAACACCCTCAGTTCACCATCATTGAGACATGCTGGACTGAGGCATCCTTAACCCTAGGGCTGCACCCTATGGATGAGGCATTCGTGTTCATGGGTCAAGCCTCAGGACACTTACCATTTGCCTCTCTCTTCTTTAAGATTCCATGGTTGGAAGCCTTATTTCCTGCTAGCACATGCTTGCAACAGATGTTAACATTTTCAATTAGATCTCATCCAAGAAGCAGTATGCGTTATACTGAGTGGCACATAAATGCTTAGCTTTTGCATTAGACCAGCTCTCACGCTTGATGACACCAGGCATTGATACCCTACTAGCTTGCCTTGTCCTTCTGTTCCCAACTGGTTCTGTGGCCTCCCACCTTTCCCAGGGTATACTCATTGAAAAGGAGTCTTTCTGTGTTTTGGTACCTGCTGTCTTGGTGTTGATAGCACAGATTTATTTTTGTTGACAATAACATACACTTGAATGGCAATTATACTACATATATAAAGCTAGATACAGCCCAGTTCCAGGATGCCAAGCTTTCCGAAGCCACATTTTCAGCAGGAGCAAGCTTCTGTGTCCTGGATTGCAGTCAAAAAGTGCAAAAGTTATGAGGCCACTGAGTAAATGCATCATTACCCACTGGAGTAGACCAACCCCAAAGTTAGGCTTTGCAGTTTTTTGTCAAAGTTAGAAAATCCATTTAACAATGGGAATGAGTAAACTACTTTCCTAACTAAATATAAAACCAGAAATCCTCATCATATCACCTTGCACAAGGAATTTCTTGTAAGTAGCAAATATGTCTTAGCCATATTTGACATTTCAGTACTCAGCAGTGGTGCTGCACATAACACATGCTTAATAAACATTCAGTGAGCACACTAATGGGTAGGTTGATTAGGTAAGATAGACATAAGGTCTAATTTCATTGATGACAGTTGCTGATTACCACAGAATTTTTGAATCATAAAGCAAAGGCTGATTCTATTCATGAGACCTTGCGCTTAGGAACATTAATTACCCTTCTTTTCTGGCTTCCCTCCATTCTAGTCATTGGAAGAGCTTCAAAATTTCATAGTTTCGGTTTTTACATCACCTACAATACATAAATCTTCCATTTGCAAATTTCGATTCAGTACTCATTCACCATTCAATATTGGCAGCTTCACTCTGGTAAGTCCCTCCTAAATCCTACAGATGGTGCCTGATTTTTATGAGACTGAAATCTATTAATTCTATTTTCTATTGCTGTTTGGAATTTATAAGTGAAAGAAAGGAGATCTATTCCTTTTATTAATCAGTAGCAGTAACATAACACACCCATAACCAGAACTAATTATCTCTTTTTCTCTCTCCTCCAGCCTTTCTTTTCTTCTTTTGCAAGTTTGACTTAAGACCAAAAATCCAGATTAAAGTCTTAGAATGTATATATTAATGTTAAATGCATTTTTACAGAGGCAAGTGTATATGAAAGAAATTTTGTAGGCACAAATGATCAATTGTATGTTTAAAAGCAACTCCTACACATACTGCAGGGTAAACTGCCAAAGGCTTCATTGTATTTTCCATACCAAGACTTATGGCTAAGAACACTCAAGAGGTGAGCTATTTTAGATGCTTGGGTTTCACACCTTAAAGCTTCACTAAAAAAAAACTTGAGTGAGATAATGCAAAAGCAACTTTGGAGTAATAACTGCTATTCCAATTCTCTTTCCCGGTGTCATAGGGTGACATTTTTAATCATTTCATTCAAAAGTTAATTATTCATTTGATTAGACAGAAATAAGTATTTTCCAAATCTTTCTTACCAAGCAACACGTTCACACTGTTTAATCACATCAGCAGCACTTCTTCAATCATGGACTAGAATTTACATCCTTTATAATTTTTAAACTACAGGCTTCCTGGAGCAATTCACCAACAGTGATGAAACTACCATAATGTCTTCTTTGTGTTTGAGACAATGGTGGCAAATTCTCAGTGGCTGACTATAAGCCTTTTTCTAACCACTTATTTTCCAGGTTGACCAGTGGCAACACTAACAGTCACCAATCTGATGCCAGACAGCCATTAACACCTCACCTTTTCATTTGATCAATTTCACTTACTAGGAAATGAATGGTCGTATTTACTCACCTACAGAAGATATTTACTTATTTTGCTGAAGAAAGAAACTTCTCTCACAAATCAATTTTAAAATAATTTTATCTTGTTAGATAGTGTATAGTCAAGGGCTGAGCCAAATGAGCCTGTTCTCTAGCATGGTTAGCATAAGCTTAGCCAGCAGGGATGCTGTTGTGTATCTGAAGAATCACAGTAAGAGGAAAGAAAACCTATGCCAGTAGATAGGAGTGGTTGGTTACCACAATGTGGTAAGTCAGGTCACAGTAAACTACTGTTCCTAAGGCAAATGAAGGAGCTATGGGAATTGGGTAAGGAGACAGATTCCTCTCAGGTATCAGTCTAAGTAATTCAAAGGAATTGGGCTTTGCTGCCTACTATGCAAAGGATTAGTTTTCAATGAGAGAGCAGACTTGTCATTTTGAGTAAGTGTGCACATCACATCATGTCTCATAGTCAGAGAGAGAAAAAAGCAGAAACAAAAACCAAGACAAAAACAAGGCCACTATGTCTACCTCTAGTCCCCATAATAGAGGAAACCTTGAGCCCTTTCCAATAAGTTACTGTCTCCCTAAAAAAACAGCTTTCCCCTGATGCTTTTGCAATGGATATATTGCAGAAAGGACAACCAAGTGAGGAAATAGCTCTTTTTCTTTCCACTGTGAGTAGACAAACTCTGACCTTGATAATAATTTTGAAGGTTTTATGCCTTAAATAGCCATGATCCTTTGAGGAGCCAGTTCTTCTGAAATCTAGTCTTCCTTGCAAAACTTTACAAGTAAACTACTCTTTCTTCTCAAAATATTTTGTCCCTGAATCTTTTATTTTTTCACACCCCTAAGACTCAGTAACATATAAAGATTAAATAATAATAATAACAATAATAATAATAATAATAATAATAATAATAAACTTGGCAAATAAACCCGGCATCCCTCAGGATTCTCCAACAGCATATTAGTAGATGATCACCTTCAAACTGATACAGACAGAGAAGGATTCAAACAAACAGGACTCAGTAAGATGAAAGGATAATCATTACTCAATTAAAAACATCTCTTCATGGCTTGAACCTGGGAAGCGGAGGTTGCAGTGAGCCGAGAACATACCACTGCACTCTAGCCTGGGTGACAGAGTGAGACTCTAAAGAAGAATTTGCCATGCTTGGGATTCCCTGAGCCTCTGTTTTTTGCTTACTTTTCTAACACACACAAGAAAATTCAATCTCTGGCAAGACATAAGATGGGCATTTCCAAGAATTACATTAAAGAAGGCTGTGGTACAGAAGTTAGGCCCAGTTTGGAACTTCAAGAATTTGTTTTCAAATTCAAAACACCAAAGATCAACCAGGAAAAAGCATTATTTGACTTAATGAGGTCAGTAGATTACTTGCTCATCCTTTCTGGAAGCAGAGATTGCTGAATCAGCCCAGATTCTAAGAACCTCAGAGAATAACAATTTCTTTCAGGGCTTGGGAATCAAGGTGGCTTCCTTCTCCTGAAGCATGATCATGTGTTGTGGGGCAAATAAACTTTTACCATGGAGTAGGGGAGTAAGTCATCCATCAGATGCATTAATTTCAGGAAAATACGTTCAATATGTGCTTAATAATGAAGGTCAGGTGTTTTCTCTTACTGCATTTTAAAAAGTGAATCTTTTATTAAACAACTTAAAAATTATAAATTATACAGAAAAGAAGTGCAACTGTAATATCAGCATGACATGTTGGCCATTTCATTTCTAATCGAAGACTCATACATTATCCCATTTCATTGAAAACTTCCTTTATGTTATATCTTTGATTTCAAAACTGAATAATAAACTGATTTAAAAATAAGAAGTCATGAGGGAACTTAGGAAGGAGGATTGCTCTTAGAGACAATAATGGTTTGTATTCTGGCACTATTCATGCATTCTCTCTCATCTCTCCAGTGGTTATTCCCTCCTCTATTTAAACTGTATTAATCTCCTTTAGTGAAATTTATCTTTCATTTCAGTTACACCTTAACTTCTCCCAAGCCATCTCTCATCTCCTCACCCCACACATAATTACCCTAATGAAAAACAAACTCGGATTTAGCAAAGGACTACATTTTTTTCATTTGCTAAATTTTACCATATTTTTTGTTTGTTATGCATTTATTTCCATACTGTCTTAGAAGACAAGAGCCATAAGAGTATTTCGATAATGTAATATACCTAAGGGTGTAATCCACACTTGCTAAGAAATCCAGTTATGTTTGTTAGGTTGACATTATGTGAAATAGCTCCAAAAGACCAGAGCAGATGATGAGAGGGCCACATAGTGTTTTATGAATGATTTGAGTTCTAATACTGTTCATCCTGATATATTCTAATCAATTCTGAGAAGGGAAAAAAAACAGATTCTACACAGAAAGATAAAAAAGGACTATAGGATAAGAGAGTAAATTTTGAAGAAAAATAGCAATACTAGTCATATAATCTGAATCACAATAATACAGGTTATATTTATATAGCACTTAATATTTTTCAAAGACCTTTCAACTGTATTGTCCCCATTTGATTGAAAATCATCAGTAATCTTGAATCCACACTGACGACCAAGCTGTAAGAAAATTGTGTTCAAGGATGGTTCCATTAGATTTCTTAAATATTTTAATGGGGAGAAAATAAACAACAAAGTTAGACATAAAGGAAAACTTCCCAACTATGAAAGTTGTCTGATGCTAACACAGGTGTCAAAAATTTTAGGAAAGAGACAGAGCAAGATGGCCAAATAGGAGCCTCCACTGATCATCCTCCCTACAGGAACACCAAATTTAACAACTATCTACACACAAAAAAGCAACTTCATAAGAACAAAAAAATCAGGTGAGCGATCACAGTACCTGGTTTTAACTTCATATCACTGAAAGAGACAATGAAGAGTTAGGAAAGAGAGTCTTGAAGAGCTGATACCATCCCTCCCCCACCCCCCAGCAACAATGGTGTGGCATGGAGAATCTTCACACTTGGGGGAGAGAGAGCACAGTGATTGTGGGACTTTGCATTGGAACTCATATTGTCACAGCCAAAAGCAACACCTCACCTGGCAGAACTCAGCCAACAACCATGAAGGGAGCATTTAGGGCAGCCCTAGCCAGAAGGGAATTACCTACCCCAGCGGTCAAAATTGAGCTTAGGCAAGCCCTGCTCTCATGGGCCAAAATGCTCTGGAGTACTAAATAAACTTGAAAGGTGATCTAGGACACAAAGGCTGCAATTCCTGGGCAAGTTCTAATACTGTGCTGGGCTATGAGCCAGTGGAATGGAGGGCATGCAACCTAGTGAGACACCAGCTGGGGCAGCCAAGGGAGTGCTTGCATTACTCTTCTGTCAACCCCAGCAGCTCAGCTCACAGCTCCAGGGGAGCTTCTTTCTTCTAAGTAAGAAGAGGAGAGGGAAGAATAAAGAGGACTTTGTCTTGCAAGTTGGATACCAGCTAGTAGGATAGGACACCAGGCAGAGTCCTGAGGCACTCACTCCAGGGCCTAGCTCCCAAATGACATTTCTAGACATACCCAGGGCCAGAAGGGAACCCACTGACTTGAAAGGAAGGACTCAATACTGGCAGAACTCATCACCTACTGACTAAAGAGCCCATGGGCCCTGAATAATCAGCAGTGGTAGCCAGGTAGTATTCACCATAAGCCTTGGTTAACACTCTGAGATGTGCTGGCTTCAAGTGAGACCCAGAAAGTTCTCAGCTGTAGTGGCTATGAGGAGATATTCCTTTTGCTTGAGAAAAGCAGAGGGAAGAGTAAAGGGGACTTTGTCTTGTAGCTTAGGTACCAGCTCAGCCACAGTGGAGTAGAGCACCCAGAGGGCTCCTGGGATCCCTGATTCCAGGCCATGGCTCCTGGATGGCATTTCTGGACCTGCCCTGGGCCAGAGAGGAGCCCAGTTCCCTCCCTGAAGGGTGAGTCCCAAGCCTGGCAGCATTCACCACAAGCTGACTGAAGAACCCTTGGGCCTTGAGCAAATATAAACGATAGCCTGGCAATACTCATCTTGGGCTTGTGGCAGTGGTAGCCATGGGAAGAGACTCCTCCGCTTACAGAAAGGGAGGGAAGAGTATAAAGGACTTTGTTTTGTGTCTTGTGTGCCAGCTTAGCCACAGTAGAATAGAACATCAGGTAGATTTCTATGGTATCCCACTCCAGGCCTTGCTCCTGGATGGTATCTCTGAACCTGCCCAGGGCCATGGGGAACTTGCTGCACTAAAGGGAAAGACACAAGCCTGGTTTGCTTTGCCACCTGCTTAGGACCTTAGCATTAGGAACTTCAGTGCACACAGGTGGTAACCGGGTAGTGGTTACAGCAGATCTAAGGCAAAACCCAGTGCTGTGCTGGCTTTAGGTCTCACCTAGTGCAGTCCCAGTGGTGGTGGCTACAGGGGTGCTAGTGTCATCCCTCTCCCAGCTTGGGTCAGCTCAGCACAGAGAGACTCCATTTGTTTGAGAGAAACCAAGATATGAGAATAAGAGTCTATGCCTGGTAATCCAGAGAATTCTTCGGGATCTTATCCAAGACCACCAAGACCAGCAAGGCGGTACATCTGTGAGTCTGAAGGAGTCACAGCATCACTGTGGGGTATACCCTAATGCAGATACAGCTGCAGTGACTAAAAACTTAGATCATAACACCCAAGTTCCTTCAAATATGGAGAAAATCTTCTCAAGAATGGCAGGTACAAACAAGCCCAGACTGGGAAGACTACAATAACTACCTGATTCTTCAATGCCCAAACACTGACAAACATTCACAAGCATCAAGGCAATCCAGGAAAACACGACCTCATCAAATGAACTAAATAAAGCAGCAGGCATCAATCCCAGAGACAGAGATATGTGACCTTTCAGACGGAGAATTCAAAATAACTGTGTTGAAGAAAGTCAATTAAATTCAAGATAAAATAGAAAGAATTCAAAATCTTGTCAGATAAATTTAACAAAGAGATTGAAATAATTAAAAAGACTTAAGCAGAAATTCTGGAGTTCAGAAATGCAATTGACATACTGAAGAATGCATCAGAGTCTCTTAATAGCAGAATTGATTAAGCAAAAGAAAGAGTTAGTGAGATTAAAGACAGGCTATTTGAAAATACACAGTCAGAGAAGAAAAAAGAATGAAAAAGAATGAAACCCACCTGCAAGATATAGAAGATAGCCTCCAAAGGACAAATTTAAGACTTGTTGGCCTTAAAGAGGAGGTAGAGAAAGAGATAGTGGTAGAAAGTTTACTCAAAGGGATAATAACAGAGAACTTCCCAAACCTAGAGAAAGAAATATGGCACACCAAGCAGATTTAACCCAAAGAAGACTACCTCAAGATATTTAATAAGCAAACTCTCAAAGGTTAAGGATTGAAAAAAAAAAGGATACTAAAAGCAGCAAGAGAAAAGAAACAAGTAACATACAATGGAGCTCCAGTACATCTGGCAGCAGACTCTTCAGTGAAGACCTTACAGGCCAGGAGAAAGTGGCATGACATATTTAAAGTGCTGAGAGAGAGAGAAAAAAAAACAAAACATTACCTAGAATAGTATATCTGGTGAAAATATCCTTCAAACATGAAGGAGAAATGAAGACTTTCCTAGACAAGCAAAAGCTGAGGAATTTCATCAACACCAGATCTGTCCTACAAGAAATGCTAATGAGAGTTCTTCAATCTGAAAGATAACAATGTTAATGAGAAATTATCTGAAGGTACAAAACTCACTGGTATTAGAACATACACAAAAGAACACAGAATATAATCACACTGTTATTGTGGTATGTAAACTACTCAAATCTTAAGTAGAAAGACTAAACAATGAACCAATGAAAAATAATAACTACAACAACTTTCCAAGATGCAGACAAAAAAATAAGGTATAAATAGAAACAACAAAAAGTTTAAAAGCAGGGGGATGAAGTTAAAATGTAGAGTTTTTATTAGTTTTCTCTTTGCTTGTTCATTAATTTGTTTGTTTATGCAAACAGTGTTAAGATGTCATCAGATTAAAATAATGGATTGTAAGATGTTATCTGCAAGCTTCACAGCAACCTAAAATCAAAAAAAGCATACAACAGATACACAAAAAGCTAGAAATTAAAACATACCACCAGAAAAAATTACTTTCACTAGAAGGAAGGAAAGAAAGAACAGAAGACCACAAAACAACCAGAAAACAAATAACAAAACAAAAGGAGTAAGTCCTTACTAATCGGTAATAACATTGAATGTATATGGACTAAAGTCTCCAATCAAAAGACACAGAGTTGCTGAATAAATAAAAAAACTAGACCCCATGACCTGTTGCCTACAAGAAACACACTCCACCTATAAAGACACACACAGATTGAAAATAAAGGGATGAAAAAAGATATTCCTTACAAGGGTAGCCAAAAAAGAGCAGGGTAGGTATACTTATGTCAGACAAAATAGATTTCAAGACAAAAACTATAAAGAGAGACAAAGAAGGTCATTATATAATGATAAAGGGATTGGTTCAGCATGAGAATATAACAACTGTAAATATATGTGCACCCAACACTGGAGCATCCAGATACACAAAGCAAATATTATTAGAGCTAAAGAGATAGATAGACCCCAACACAATAAAAGATGGAGACTTCAACACCCCACTTTCAGCATTGCACATATCATCCAGACAGAAAATTTAAAATAAAAATTGGACTTAATCTGCATTATAGCCGAAATGAATCTAATAGATATTTACAGAACATTTCATCCAACAGCTGCAGAATACACATTCTGCACTTTAGCACATGGATCATTTTCAAGGAGAGACCATTTGTTAGGCCCCATAATGAGGCTTAAAACATTCAAAAAAATTGAAATAATATCAAGTATCTTCTCTGACCACAATGGGATAAAACTAGAAAACAATAACAACAGGAATTTTGGAAACTATACAAACACATGGAAATTAAATAATATGCTCCTGAATGACCAGTGGGTCAATGAAAAAATTAAGAATGAAATTGAAAATTTCCTTGAAACAAATGATAATGGAAACACAACATCAAAATCTATGAGATATAGTGAAAGCAGTACTAAGAGGGAAGTTTATAGCTATAAGTGCCTACATCAAAAAAGTTTAAAAACTTCAAATAAACAACCTAATGATGCATCCTAAAGAATGAGAAAAGCAAGAACAAACCAAACCCCAAATTAGTAGAAGAAAAGAAATAATGAGGATCAGAGCAGAAATATATGAAATCAAAATGAAGAAAACAATACAAAATATCAATAAAACAAAAAGTTGGCTTTTTGCAAAGATAACAAAATCAACAAATCTTTAGCTAGGCTGACTAAGAAATAAAGACAGAAGGCCGGGCGCAGTGGCTCACACCTGTAATCCCAGCACTTTGGGAGTCTGAGGCGGGTGGATCACGAGGTCAGGAGATCGAGACCATCCTGGCTAACATGGTGAAACCCCATCTCTACTGAAAATACAAAAAAATTAGCCAGGCGTGGTGGCGGGTGCCTGTAGTCCCAGCTACTTGGGAGGCTGAGGCAGGAGAATGGTGTGAACCTGGGAGGCGGAGCTTGCAGTGAGCCAAGATCGTGCCACTGCACTCCAGCCTGGGCAACAGAGCAAGACTCCATCTCAAAAAAAAAAAAAGAAAGAAAGAAAGACAGAAGACCCAAGTAAATAAAATAAAAAAGGAGACACTACATTCAATAACACAGAAATTCAAAGGATTGTTAGTGGCTACTATGAGCGACTATATGGGAATAAATTGGAAAAATTTAGAGGAAATGGATAAATTCCTAGACACATACAGCCTACCAAGATTGAACCAAGAAGACATCCAAAACCTGAACAAACCAATAACAAGTAATAAGTTTGAAGCCATAATAAAAAAGTCTCTCAGCAAAGAAAAGCCCAGGACCTGATGGCATCACTGCTGAATTTTACCAAACATTTAAAAAAGAACCAATACGTACTCAAACTATTCTGAAAAATAGAGGAAGTAGAAATACTTAGAAACTCATTCTATGAGGCCAGTATTACCCTGGTACAAAAAAAAAAAAAAAAGACATAATAAAAAAAGAAAACTACAGGCCAAAATCTCTGATGAACACTGATGCAAAAATCCTCAACAAAACACTAGCAAACAGTATTTAATAACACTAAAAAGATTATTCATCATGACCGAGTGGAATTAATCCCAGAGATGCAAGGATGGTTCAACATGTATAAATCAATCAATGTGATACATCATATCAACAGAATGAAGGACAAAAAATCATATGATTATTTCAATTGATGCTGAAAACACATTTGATAAAATTCAGCATCTCTTCACAGTAAAACCCTCAAAACCCTGAGTGTAGAAGGAACATACCTCAGGGGTATAGGACAGGATCCTTAATTCTTCCTGCACAAGACACCTTCATATCTTTTATTCCCTTCACATCCACCCTAAACATTTTCTGGTTATCCAGTAATCTCAGATTCTTAATTTATCAACTTTGAACAACCTTTAGCTTGTCTTTGTCCTCTTCTAAGTGTCATGTCCAATACTAACTACAATACTCCATGTATCCACATACAGATTGATCAGAGCAAAATAGAGTAGGATTACCACTTTCCCCAGAGTGGGCATAATATATCTACTAATACAGTCTAAGACATTAACTATATTGGCAGCCATGCCACTCAGTTGACATACATTGCATAACCAAAACTCCTAATCTTCTTCTACATTGTATATGCTAAGGATCCAGTCCTATATCTTTTAAAAGAACCCAGAAATTCACTTTATAATCTCCAAGTTTTCATTCATGTCCTTATTTCCATGTAATTAAATTTGCTAGTATTCAAGGACCTACAATAAAAGTTAATATTATTAAATATCTTGTTGGCATTACATATTTTCTATATTATTTAATGTCTTTACAACAGTAATCTTCCTTGTATTTGTTTATGTTAATGAATATGCCTTCTATCTACATTTTTTACTCAAATAGATTGGTATAAACCTAACCACATCTTAGAAATCTTAGAATTTCTTATCTTTAGGAAATATATCCCATATTCCAAAAAAGAAACCAAAAATGATTTTGCAAGCACACCTTATTTTGAATTGATGGTTTACTATAGGCTTAAGTGGAGCATCTTTATTTTCACTAACATTATGTTCTGTTTATAATCACAGCATTAATTTAACTCTGTTTTCCTGCCTTCACTCTCCATCCCCAGTTACTTAGTTTTAGTCTTAACCAACATCTGTGTTTACACAGCCATAAACTATAGATAAGCACAATTTTGCAAACGATGTTTCAGGACCCCTTTTCTAGCTTGGCGATATGTGGATAAGCTGTGTAACTTAGAAAGTCTTTACAGAACAGCTAGCTAAAATCCACAGTTTCAACAACAAGTTTTATAAATCTTATTTCTTTATATCTCTCAAATCATCTACTCCTTTCCATCCCCATCACCATTTCCTTAGCGGAGGGCATCATCATCTCTTGGGAGATTCTGGCAACATTCTACAATTGCCCTGCCTTTAATACAATCCCCTTCCAGTGTGTGCTTCCAGTGCAGACAGAGTGATCTTTCCAAATATATCAATCTGATCCTGTCAAACTCTTGTTTAAAATCCTTCAGAGCCTCCATGTTGTCTTCAGAATTACAGGGAGTTGCATCTTACATAGGAATTAGGTTCCATAAGCAACTAAAACCTAAATCATATATAGTCAAACTCATCCTGGAATGGTCCTTGATTGTTCTTAAGTCACATGTGCCAATTATCCAACTTTACCAGAAGTATAAGTATATTAGAATGTATTTAAAAATATTTATCAAGTGCCTATTACATAATCAGAAACTGTTCCAGGCAATGGGACTATCTCAAGGAACAAAACAGACTAAAATCTCTCCCTTCAGAGAGCTTACATTTAATAAACAAATAAGTCAAATACATAGAAAGTCTAATGGCAATAAGAGCTACTGGGGAAAATTGGGGCAGAGAAAGGGGATAGGGAAAAAGTTGGGGACAGGATGGTGAAGGAAGGGGATTGCCATTTTCAGTAAGGTGTTCAGAGAAAGCCTAACTGTGAAGGTAGCATTTGAGCAAAGTGGAAGAAGGTAAGTGAGTGAGCCAAACAGACCTGTAGATGAGGAATGTCGTAAAGGAACAAGGAGTGCTTAAGCCCTGGAGGGTTTGAGAAATGAATGACAAAGTGCAGATAGGAGCTGGAGTGGAGTTAGAGATCAGAGAGGTGGCAGGGAGCCAACTGTGTAGGGCCTTTTAGGTTTTTGCTCCTTGAGTGATGTGAGAAGCCACTTGAGAGTTTCAGGCAATTGGGTCATGGTCTGACTACAAAGCTCAGATGGGCAGGCGAGGCTGGCCTTGTCCTCCATCCCCTGCTACCCCTCGCCTCCCTCTCTCTGAACTCCACAGCTAACTTGTTCTTGTGCTTTTTCTCCTAGACTCCAGAAGGGCAGGTGTGTTTCATGCAGGATGCCTTCCCTGATTTCCCCCAGCCTGAGCTGATGGACTTTGTTCATTTTCCCAGTGTGTCTAGTCCACACTGCCGAGCACTGGTAGCCAACTACCCCCATCTCTAGAAGGCAAACTCTTTGAGAGTGGTGCCCACGTCTTCTTTGTAACTCCGGCTTGCAGCACAACACCTACATGCAGATAAGCACTCAGGAAATGTTTGCTGAATGAATGGCTAAGCAACAGTGAAATCGGCTGCAGCAGACGAGTCTGCAGGAGGATTCTCACTTGTGTGAGGCATTTTGAATTATCTAGAATCCCAATATCTGGGTTTCTGATCTCCTTTTCGGAGAATTGTATTTTAACACACTTCCTTTTTATCTTTCAGATTTGGTTTTGACTGCATTCTTCTGAGCTTTAAATTTATTGCCCATCAAAAGGAAAAAGAAAAGCTATGAAAATTCTTTCTTTTGGCAAACTCTAAGCAAAGGTAAACTTTTATGTTTGTGAGAAAGGAGATATCCCAATCCAATTGGCAATTTTTTTAAGTTTAAATATTTTTTAAATTTTTGTGTTATTAATAAATCATACTAACAGATACCAACCCCAAATGCAACTTACTTGTAAATTGAGGCATACTGGCTATTTCAATGGAAAAAAAAAACTGTGGACAACCTGTGCTTTTACCTACATTTTGAAATCCACATTCTACAGTGTGAAGATAGAAATAAGAGATCACCAAGAAGAGTATTCAATTTGAGTTTAGATGTGATCAGCTCCTGAAAAGAAAAGATTATCAATGTTTATCTTCTACAGATATCATTTGAGCTTTCAGGGTGGGAGAGAAAGAACCAAGCATGGAAAAACAAGAGTATTTTGTGTGATATAACCTGGTCAAAATGTTAGCCTGTAAGGGTGGGTACAAAGTCCTTTATCACATTTGGAAAAAAAAAAATTCTCCTTCCTCCCTTCGGGAGAACATGGGGTTTAGCATCAGTTTTAAAAGGCCTCTCGCCCTTTCAACATGCATCCGAGCCCCACCCTCGCACAGAGGTAAGATAATGTGCTCTTCAGTAAGAAGTCAAGTATCCCCTGTCTTTTGAAACTGCCTGACGAGAATTAACGGCCTTTGCCATCCTCTTTTAAACAACTTTGGCCAGTATTTATAAGCACCTCGTTTATCTTGAGAGTCTTTCATCTATTATCTGACTGTAAGCGTGTTCATGGCTCATCAGCTGAATTCACTTTGACAGAGAAGTCTTATGACGAGTAGCCAACAGCCTAATGTCAGGTCTGTGAGTATCTCTGGAATTAAGGTGATGGGAAAAGGGTAACCTTCTGCTGCTTCTAACAGCATTTGCTGAACAACAGAAATAGAGCCTTAAATCATCCTCCCTTTAGGAAAGCAGGTCCCCTTTGCTAATATTAGAGCACATTGCAGCTGGGTTCGCACTTAGATCAAAAATACCACTTGAGGCCACCTCTGGATTCAGACTTATATGTGGTAACAGATGTGAACCATGAAATTTCCTGTTATATAGATGAAAGTTACCATCCAAATGGTTTTTACTTGACCACTAACAAGTCCATTTGCAGATATTTTTAACACTAACAAGGGAAAAAAAAAAAAAGACCATCATTCTCTATCTTTATAGTTCAACCACCAGGGCCCCGGAGGTTTATAATTGTTACTTCTCTTCTTCTGAAGAATTAGGAATGGGTTTTTTGATGAAAAAAAAAAAATACCTGGCTGCAAACATAATATGCTTATTTTAAACAGCTCCAGTTTGGTTTATGATAATCTGAAAGTGCATGATGCCTCAAACAAAGATTTCTGTTTATAATAACTTATAAGAATTATATTTCAAAACAGTTTAAAGCTGGCTATACACATTCATAAATATTTTGAGTAGCCAAAGTAAACTTTTGAGAAACCTCGCCACCACAGAATTCAATGTTTGTATTTTCTACGAATAAAACAGGAGCTTTTTGAAAGTAGCATTAATACTAAATTGACAGGGAGGTACCTGTTGCTCTAAATTTATCATCACCCAATCAGCATGGCCTATATCTGCCAAGCTGAGGAGTAAATCAGTTGTGTTTAGCTTCACTAATCACCTGATGATTATTCAGAATTATAAAAACAGAGCTTTTCAGTCCCAAAGGTAAAACTCTATTACGAACAATGGCTTTCAACTGTTCAACACTTAGTCAACAGTTCTCTTCCAGTCCTAAAAGAGTAACTTCATTAAAATGCAAGGAATCAGTGTGAACATACTTGAAATAATACTAATAAAGGAGCAGTTGGTATTGTACAGATAAGTCTGTTTCTATCTTCAAAGTTCTTTCAAAAGAGCTTTAGTCAGGTGTTACAGTAACTGGAATTAAATGGGTATCTATATACTATAGTCCCCCCATACTTGTCTTAATGTAGTTCCATTGACATCCTTTTGTGGGTCACTTGGAAAATAATGTACTCAAATTTCTATAGATAGAAACAACAAAATAAAAAGCCTACCCTTTGTTGAACTGTCACTCCTGTATTCTTAAGAAATCATGAGGTTAATGTACAGGGTGGGTGATAACCTTATGAAGCAGATGATCCAGCAAGAGGCATTTGTTGCTAGATGTATTTAAAAAAAAAAAAGTTTGGCTTTCTCTTTATGAGTTGTTAAGAGTGAAAAGCAAGAGTTTCTGTAAAAGTATTCACAACAGTCATGATTCTTCAGCTACGCCCAAGCCAAAGTAAAATAGCTCATTGGAATATTGTGATGAGCAAACTGAGGTTTTAAGAGTTGCTATTATTTTAGTCTCTGTCTGAAATGAAAGAGGAACCTGTCGGAAAGTGTAGGCTAATTTAGAAATAAGAACCCCTGTAGCCCTCTACCCTCCCATGCCACGAACCCCCTCCTACACAGATTCAGAAACTTCTGCAAACTATCAAAAGACCCTAAATGCCCGTTATAACGGGGTTTACACAAGCTCCCTCCTCACCTCCGTTTCCCTATCCTTTGCGGGAGCTTCCCCCAGGAGCTTTCTTCCACATCTGAATCTGCACCTGAGCCAATTCCAAATCTCAGACTGACTACCATGTCTGTCCACTTGGGTAATGGCCAAAATCAAGTTGACACCTATGAGAAAACTTATGCATGTCTGCATCTCCCCTTGCTCCCTTTCTCTTCCTTCTCTTCTTCAAAAATACCCATAATGTGACTCCTTCACATGGCTTTCCTGACTCTGTCAGTGATACCAACAATCTCCCCACCACCCAGATGATGGTCCTGGGGTTATGTTAGATTCCTCCTTCTCATTCATTCTGTTCATCTGCCTTTCACAGTCTTGTTTATGTTTCATGAAAATGTCTTTCAAATACAAGCTTCCTCTTCATTCCCACCTCCACCATCCTAGGAGAGCATCTATCACATCACACATGGGTTACAGTAGCTGCCAGGCAACATCCCTTATGACAAGTTCTCCTGTGCTCCAAACCTTTGTATAACTTGGCAAAATGCACGCTAAAAACTATTAACACATTGCTATTTTATCATAAGCCTTCAATGGTTACAAGCTGTCCACCTCATCCTTGTGTACTTGTAAAAGCATGAAGACCCTTCCCAGGTCAACTCAAAACTATTTCCTATATAAAGTTAATTACCTTCCTGTAACGCATATCCATTTGTTGTGCATGAAAAGAAAAAGTTAATTCTTTCTTCTACTAGGCAGTCCATCAGATGTTTGAAAACAGCTCTCATGCATCTGCTTAATATTCTTTCCTTCCATTTAATTCCTTCCCTTTCTCTTCAGATGACTTTGTTTTCAGATTCCTCATCATTGTTTAGACTTACTGCCATAGCCCCACCTAAAATATACAACACTCTTGAAATAAATAGGTAATTGTACTTTTTCCCACTTTCAAATTCCTTGGGCCAGGCATGGTGCTCACGCCTGTAATCCCAACACTTTGGGAGGCCAAGGCAGGTGGATCACTTGAGGTCAGAAGTTCGAGACCAGCCTGGCCAACATGGTGAAACCCCATCTCTACTAAAATACAAAAATTAGCAGGGTGTGATGGTGGGCGCCTGTAATCCCAGCTACTTGGGAGACTGAGTCAGGAGAATTGCTTGAACCCAGGAGGCAAAGATGCAGTGAGCCAAGATTGTGCCAGCGCACTTCAACCGGGACAACAGAGCAAGACTCCGTCTCCAAAAAAAAAAAAAATCAAATTCCTCCATGCCTACCCAGAGTAACAGGAAATCCCCCCATACATATTTTTAATGAATCAGTACTAGCCTGAATGTATTTGAAAGTTTAAGCTAATGTAAAAAAAAAATTTTTACATTGTACTTTTATCTTCAGCATGACACATCATTTATATTTAATAAATGTTTAGTCATTGGATAAAGGGGAAAACAAATATAGGCTCTTTGGATATAATATAACTTTGGTGGAAAACCAGGAGAGCTCACTTTACAAAGACATGTATCTTTAGCTCCCTGATATTGTTGAAAACAAAACCAAATTAAACAAAAAAAAACCTGTAGCTACCTTCAGACAAGAGCCTTTAAACATACTTGGCAGGAAACAGTCACTCCACTTTCATTCCTCCAACCCTCACATCAGTGACCTCCCTTGATCTCTGAGATGACAGTTTGCCAAGTTCCATGAAGATGGCATTCACAAATGACCCCATTAGACTTCCTAAAAACCTTAATTGCCCAATTCCTTTCACCCAGGTTTCTGAGGTTCAAGGAATGCTATCCTTCAGTTACTCTCTGGCATAGGTTCCAACTATTGTTATCTAATCCTTTCTGAATCCCTGAGAATGCAAAGAACTGAAGCTGACTTTGATTCTCTACCGAATTACAAAATACTTTACATACTTCTGTCACATAGTCATTCTCCTGTGTTTACTGTTCAACAGTGACATTCACTTTCATGTCTAAACATAGAAGGGAAGCACCATTGCAATAAATATAATCGTAAAGATTCAAAAGCTGATCCCCTTCAAAGGACCATGTTAAATATCTAAGAAAATTAATCACTTCCTGCTGTCCTAACCCCATATTTACACCTTATCTGAATGAACAGTATAGGCTAAGGGGCCAAGTGTCCACTCTGCATATGCATTTGAAAAATACCTTAGCTTTTTCTTGCATATCAAATCGACATTTATTTATTGAGTATCCACTATTTGGATCACACTATCTTGGAGCAAATCTATTGAAAAAAAAAGTAATTTCATTTAAACTTTAGCTTTTCTTTCAGGATATGTTGTGACCTTAAAGAAAAGTATTATGCTGTATACATGTAGATCTACTTTTCTGAAACCAAAACGGGTATATGATGTGGATGGCGAGAGGACGAGTTGCACCAGAAGAAGTAAAAATAGATTAATAAGTTAAAAAAAAAACTCCTATATTTATGTCATTCCAGAATCATATGCTTTAATTTTCTTGTCTAAAATTCTTAACAGCATTATATTGCAATCATTTGAATCAAGTTTCCCAATTCCATAAAAGTTTGCTGTATCAAGTGGAACAATTATGAATACTAATGTTTCCTTTATTTGTTTTCAGTGGCAAATGAAAGCACATGAAGGGCCATGGTGTTACATTATGCTCTCATCCCACCAACACCATCACCCCGCACAGCACACATGCATGCACACCCTCTCTCACAGTATTCAGAAGGTTGAGCACTCTTCTACTAGGAGAAAAACAGGATAAATGGAGGAAGCTTTACTCAGAGGCACACCCAAGAGAGAATAATCACCTTACAGACACATTAAGGGCTTCCAGCACCTCCAAGAGATTGAGACATTATTTTATAATGACAAATATGCAGCTAAATTACTCAAGTGATCTGTGGAATCAATCAATAACTTCATCCCTCAAAACATAGTTTTTGAAACCATATTCTATCACTTGAAGAAAAATTGGGCCAAAAAATTTCCAAGAATATTACATTTCTGAGTTCACAAGAATTATCTTGGAGGGGAGATGGATAAAAATAGGTTAAACTAAAACAGTATCTGTTGAAGAATAGGCTAATGACACTCTTTCATGATACGTATAGCATGTTTCAAAATTACTATGACCTATACTTCTCTGCATTTATGTTTTATTTCAATAAACATGTCCAAAACCATGTCATAGCAAGCTGATAATTTATCTAGGAAGTCTACTACTGGGGTCTCAGTATCACAGAGGAAACAGTATAGGGGAGAGCCAAAAAATAAAGAGGAGTCTGGCCAAGGAAAAAAGATAAACTGGATTTGGCAAGAGGAAGAGATTAAGATGTTGCTTCTTTGCCCTCCACAAATGCTGGGTCTGCAATGTGACCCTGGAAGATGAAATGAGATGGAGGCAAGAATATTATACATTTTTTTCTAGTTTGCTTTTTTTAAAAAAAAAGATATATAATAGTTGCATATATTTTGGAGGTACATATGATATTTTGATCCCTGTATACAATATACGCTGGGCTCAGTCAAGGAAAGCCAGCACCCAGCTAAGGATATGCCAGAGGCGAGAAAACATCCTATAAGGGTATGAGGTCCTGCACTGAATTGTAATCTTACCGGAATGGCATATCAGGATCCCAAATGTTTTGGAGTAGGTGACAGATGCAGTGAAACTCAAACACATCTCCAGCAAATATGAACAAAATAAACCAAAAGAAGAGCCCCCAAGGTCTGGGGAGCTTGAGAGAGGAAAGGTTGATCATCTTCATATTTCTCCTAGGAATGTTCTTATTTATTTTTTTTTGCTTTTTAAACTGCTTGATATATTCTTTCCAAGACTGCTATCAAGATGTGGTCAGTGAAGAATAAGAAAACTGCCCCACGCAGTCTGGTCAATATTCCCAGGTTCACTAGAAATGCCAAAGTAAGAGAATAGTCATAAGCATCATCATCTGGGAACCCCCCAAACAATATTATATGGTCAGCAAGAGGTTGCCAGAGCTGTTCCTTTTTCTTTTAAACATTAAGCTCTTCCTGCCTATAGGAAACCCAGTGAAAATCTCATTTCTAGGCTCTCTGAGCTATAGAAATTTCTCTGTTATCTGGGGAGTCCTAGACCACTGCAGTCCTTGGTACTCAAAATCCATATATTTGCATGGTCTGTTTATGCCAGAAAACCTGTACGTGATCTTTACCCACAATTGACATTACCTAATTTGATTTATCCCAATCAGCCTGAAAATTCTTTAAGTTCCAAATTGAGGGAAAGTAAAACAAGAGTATTTTTTATTTGACCATGTCATCTGAGTATATATAGTTGAAATCTGAGATATGGAGCTGCTTGAAAGATGAAAAGAGATGGGGGCAAAAGCATTATACATTTTTTTCTAGTTTACTTTTTAAATTTTTTAATTGAAATAGAGTAGTTGCACATATTTTGAGAGGGCATGTGGTATTTTGATACCTGTGTTCAATGTTTAATGATTATACACTTTTTAAAGTAGTTACAACACTCATAAGAGAAAATGTAGCATCATGACTAAGGTTGTAGACTCTGGAGCTGACTGCCTGAGTTCAAATCTGAGCTTCACCACTTCCTTATATAACTTTTATGGCCTTGAGCTTGCTACCTACACTGTCCATGTTTCGGTTTAAGCACATTAATATATGTACAAAACATAGAATAGTGTCTTGTTTATGATAAATGCTAAATAAGTACTAATTAATTATAAGCAGATGCTAACTTTCCTTCTATCATAAATAGAAACATGATAATTACAAATAAATATTCCTCATCAGAGCCCCTTACATCATCTCAATGCTCACGTGGTGAGGGTCCATAAACCACAGTCCACCAGCGAAATCCAGCCCCTGTCTTGTTTTTGTCCAGCCCACAAGGTAAGAATAATTTTTACCTTTTTAAAATTAATTTTTAAAAATTTCAATAGCTTTAGGGGTATAAGCAGATTGTAGTTGCATGGATGAACTGCACAGTGAAGGCTGGGCTTTTAGTGTACCCATCACCTGAATAGTATACACTGTATCCAACAAGTAATTTTTCATGTGTCAGCCCCACAACCCTCACTCTTTCTGAGTCTCCAGTGTCCATTATACCACTTTGTATGCCTTTGCACACCGATAGCTTAGCTCCAACTTATAAGTGAGAACATGTGGTATTTGGTTTTTCATCCCTAAGTTACTTCACTTAGGATAATGGCCTCCAGTTCCACACAAGTTGCTGCAAAAGACATTATTTTGCTGTTTTTATGGCTGAGTAGTATTCCATGGTGTGTGCGTGTGTGTGTGTGTGCGTGTGTGTGTCACATTTATTTTATCTATACATCAATTGATAGGCACTTAAGTTGATTCCATATCTTTGCAGTTGTGAGTTGTGGTGCAATAAACATGCAGGTGTCTTTTTGACATAATGACTTCTTTTCCTTTGGGTAGATACCCAGTGGTGGGATTGCTGAATCGAATGGCAGATCCATTTTTTGCTCTTTGAGAAATCTCCATAGCATTTTCCATAGAGGTTGTACTACTTTACATTCCCACATTTTTAAGAGATGGTTTAAAAAAAGAAGAGGAGAAGGAGAAGAATATATGACAGAAACCAAACATGCCCCCCAAAGTCTAAAATATTTACTATCTGGCCCTCTACAGAAAACATTTGCTGATCTTTGTACTGGATTATAAGAATATCATTACAATATGAGAACAAGGTAGTTTTCTAGAATATTTTGTGTGCCTGTTAATTATTTTGAGTACCACATATTTTTTATTAACTGGTGATATAAAATGCCAGGGTTTGGTTTCAGGAAGCTATTTAGCAACATTACAAATGTCACCTTCGCAATTTATGCTGCTCCATTGTCTTTAAAGAGTAGCCCTTTACGCTTCTTCAGCTCACACCTACAAGCACACTCCAGAAATGACCACACTGAGACATGCTCACCAAAGGCAAGGGCACACACAAATCCCCTCTGCTCCAAAATGGGTAGGGTTGCTTCATTTAGCAAATAAAAATACAAGATGCCCAGTTACTTCTGAATTTTAGGTAAACAATGATTGATTGATTGATTTAGTATAAGTATGTCTCATGCATACTTAGTTGAGACATACTTATACTAAAATATTTCTCATTGTTTATCTGAAATTCAAATTTAAATGGAGCATTTTATATTTTACTTGTCAATCTTAAAATGGTGGCTCATAAAAATGAAGGGAATTATGAACTATATATATTCAAAGCATACTTAAAGTAGTAAGAGATTTCTTTATTTTCTTTTCTAAATTAGTAACAATAGTAACAGTAACAACAGCTTATGTGTATTGAGAGTTTTCTGTGTTCCAGACACTGTTCTATATAATAAACACTTTCTATATAATAACCCATTTAATCTTCACAGGCACTGTATTAGCCCATTTTCACACTGCTATATAGAACTACCTGAGACTGGGTAATTCATAAAGAAAAGAAGTTTAATTGACTTACAGTTTCACATAGCTGGGGAGGCCTCAGGAAGGCAAAGGGGAAAGCAAGGCACGTCTTACATGGAAGCAGGAGACAGAGTGAGAGCAAAGAAAGCCACACACTTTTAAACCATCAGATCCTATGAGAACTTACTCACTAACACGAGAACAGCATGGAGGAAACCGCCACCATGATCCAATCACTTCTCACCAGATCCCTCCCCTGACACATGGGGATTATAATTTGAGATGAGATTTGGATAGGGACACAGAGCCAAACCATATTAGGAACACCCAAGAATGGTAAGATAGTGTTATTATTTTATTCATTTGATATGTGAGAAAACTCTGGAAAAGAAAGGTTAAGTACCTTATGCAAAACCACACAATTAGTATATCATGGAAGAAGCATAATTTGGGTATCTAATTCTCTCTCCCCACTGTGCTTAGCCACTAATTAAAAATTCCCCTTAAACACAGGCACACAGAATGCTAGAGAGGTGAATTTACTTTGGTTGGGTTTGGATCTTGGAGCTACACACTAAGACGCTGGCCTGCCAGGTTGTCTTAGAGCAGGGTTTCTCAGTCTCACCACTGCTGATATTTAGGGCTGCATTCTTGACCTGTATGCACTAAATGCCAGCAGTATCTCCCTCCCAGTCATGATCATCAAAAATGTCTCCAGACCTTGCCCATCCCCTGGATATAGGATTCCCAGATTTAGCAAACGAAAGTACAAGACACCTGGTTGATTTTGAACTTCAGATAAGCAATGAATAATTTTTCAGTATAAGTATGTACCATGCAATATCTGGCACACATTTATAGTAAAAATTATTTGTTGTTTACCTAAAATGCTAATTTAGCTGTGCATCCTGTATTTTATCTGGCAACCCTACCTGGAGGACAAAATCTCCCCCAGTTGAGTACCAGTGTTAGAGCTCTGGTGAGAGAAGAGGCCAGAGAGTCAAAGTTTCTCACCCTCCTCTCTGTTGAACCTGAATATAATGCTCTAACCATACAGCAACAGAAAGGAGAAGACTCATCTGGCATCAAACTGGTGAACCAACCCATCTCTTCTCCCCTTACTGCTACACACACCCCTGGTTAGCCTGGATATCTTCTTTCAGGGACACAAAAAACTCTTGGCCTTTCTCCTAGGTGCTAGTGAACATGGACCTCCTAATTCCTTACTCTCCATTCAATCTGCCTTGTTAATAAAATTCATTTTTAATAAGAATTCTGACTAATCCTTCCCCAACCCCCACGTCTTAATATTCTCCAATACCTCCCCACTTGCTGAGATCAGCTAGACCACCCTCATCCCTAGGTCCCTGTGTTAGATGACCAACCTCCAATCCTTTTGCTACTACCAGGACTGGGATGTAATAGGTCAGGGGTGAGGCACAGGTGCAGCTCTCCCTCTCCAGCCCTCACTCCTATACAGGACTCATTGTGAAACTGGACTTTGGTCTCATCCTCCTTCTGAATTCTGAGCTGTTTCTGCCTGGCACTTCTGCCTTCTTCTTCTTAAGCTCAGAGTTTAGCCACAACTTCCAATCTGAGATATGGGTCCTAATACCCAGCCTGGTCATTGTCAGATATAGGAGCACATATTGCCCTTGTACGGAATGACATGAAAGCAGCCTTATGTGTGAAAATCACTTGGGACCATGAAAGATGCCTGGGCACCTCCAGAGTACTCTGCAGCCACCAGCATAGCATGCTGCTTGCCCTGGTGATAGCAAGTGCAGCAAGATACAGCTGAACAAGTGGCACGCATGCAGCAAGTCAGTATCTGTCACAGATAACGTACATGGAAATTCAAGCTCATTCCTATGTCATTCATAAAGGGCCCCCAAAACATCAGAAAAAGAAAATAAGAAGAAAAAAAGGCAGAAAGAAGGAAAGGAGGAAGGGTGGGGAAAAACAGGGAAGACTTTTTTCAGATTTTGACCCTGCCACTACCTTGAACAAGTTATGAAAATAATCTGAGCCCCCATTCATTTGTTTGTAAATGGAACAATAATACACACCTTAAAGAATTAGATGAATGAACATATGCTAGATCTGGGTCATAAAAACCATTCAGTGGGCTGGGTGCAGTCACTCACGCTTGTAATCCCAGCACTTTGGGAGGCCAAGGCAGGCGGATCACCTGAGGTCAGGGGTTCGCGACCAGCCTGGCCAACATGGCGAAACCCTGTCTCTACTAAAAATACAAAAATTAGCCAGGTATGGTGGCACATGCTTGTAATCCCAGCTACTCAGGAGGCTAAGGCAGGAGAATCAATTGAACCCAGGAAACAGAGGTTGCAGTGAGCTGAGATGGTGCCATTGCACTCCAGCCTGGGCGACAGAGTAAGACTCCCTCAAAAAACAAACAAACAACAACAAAAAAAACCCATTTAGTGAATATTAGATCCCTCTCTCTTCTTTTGTTCCCCTTTTTCCCTTTTCTCCCTGAAATGCAGTAAAGATTACTGTAACCTCCAAGAGTAGGCAGAGATTATTTCCTCCCCATTAGCCCTCACCCCCACCCCACTCTTTCCAATCTTCCCCCTTCTCTGCCCCTGCTAGTCTAATTTTGTCATGTTTTTCCTTTGCATCTGTAAGGCAGTCTAAGTTTTATAACAGTTCAATCAAGTTCAATTAATGGAATTTTAAAGGGGCCTGGAAAACCAATGCTATATTAAATTATAAATGCAAAAATTAGAGCAAAACAAACCTCATGCCTCAGAGCAAAATTTTATGCTTTTAATGTGTAAGGAAGCCATTTGTCCTTGGCCCCAGCCCAACCCTCTCTCTAAGCAGCTATATCCGCCTTACCCAAACACTGTGATTCGTTATGTAAATATGGCTGCCTTCCTCCATATCGGAACAGCTATTTGTTATTACCAGGAGTTAAATGCTAACCCTGACAAAGCCATGTTCTAGCCCAGCACTTTATGGTCTGCTTTAATGGCTGGGCAAGAGTTGTAATTGCAGTCCTCTTAGCTATCCTGTACCACCTTAATCAACACACCAGCTCTGGAGGTCCTGAGGAAATGATCTTATCATCACCTCATTATTAATGTACATCTTGTTTAAAGGGATTTGCTAAGCTATTAAAGGGATATGATTCCCAGCCCTTTGTCACTATAAAATTCCTCTAGGACTATGAATTGAATAAATCAGCAGGTTATCACACCTGGCATTATTAAAATACATTAGGGTATAAAAATAAGACTTACCACTAACTTCTGTCATGGAGAAAAAAACAAATAAATAAGTGTCTGTTTTCTGACCATAACCTCATAGCCTCTTCTACAGTTTGGTCTGCTTAGCCAGTTTCAACGGCACCATTTCTGTGGATGAATTCTCTGGGCCTTTACATTTATAAGAGAGTAGTTCTCAATTGTTTTTATTTTTTTCTTAATGCTTGAGTCCCTAGTGTATGGTTTATCCCAGTAAGCAATACTCCCTCATCATGTCCTCTTTCTCATAACTTTCAAGAACTATCTTTTAAAAATAATCTTAGTAACATTATGCTGATAATCTCCATAACATTATGATGAATGAGAAGTTCTCATTTATTTCGTCTGTGTTGACTAGCCTTATCAACTTCCCAAATTGATCGATATTATTTCTTTTTTAGGTAGAAAAGGAAGGCACTGAGAATCTTCTTTGCCTCCCCCAAATTACTCAGCTTATACCAGTGATTCTTTGGCTCTTTTAAGGGCAAATGGCCTTTGCTTCCTTCTAAATGATGTCTGTAAAATGATGGAAACATCCAATTGCCTAATCGCTCTTTATAGCTTTTCCAACTTCTGTAAGCCTTTTTATAGGTCTCCATCCATCTCCTCTTTGCCCTGGGCCATCAGAACCATACTCTGTCTATTGCTTCCTCTCTCATCATTTCTTTCCTGAACCTCCTGTGAGTGCATTTCCCTCTCTTTTCCTTCTTTCCTCCAGCAAGGCTCAGTTTGGGGCCATGGGCTTTGTTCCCTCACAGCACACTCCTCATGGAAGCTCCCATCAGATGGCTTTAATTACCACCTGAATGCATATGACTCCCCATCTCCAGCCCCAGCCGTGACCTCTCACCCTCTCTTCAGTCCCATATTTCTTTCTGTCTGCAGAATATCTCTACTTGGGTGTCCCACCACCTCCTAAAACTAAACATGTCAGATGCAGAGCTCATTATCTCTCCACTCCCCCTTGGTTGTCTCCCTGTTTCTCCAGGCTGTCAATAGCACCCTTTCCTCAGGCCCCAGTCCCTGGAACTCCCAGAGGGGCCCGGAGCAGTCCCTCACCCACATTCCTCAGAAAGACAGGTTTCTGCCCCTACATTCCCTCACAGCTGAAGACTGTGACAACACTGTGATCTCAACTGATTTTACTTCAGTGGTGGTGGTATTTTAAAAATTCTACTTTCCCATTCATCCAACTGTTGACAAATATTTAAGAGCTCTGCTGCACTCCATTCTCTAAGATATGCTGAAGACCTGGAGCCCTCTGAATTGACAAGCAAATCACGTATCTCCTTCTGATTCATGATTCTAAATTATACAATATATAAGACTGCATATTTATAAACCTTTTTATTTCCTAACATAATTAATAGCTGTAGTTACCAATTAAATAGTAAACTAATTAGTAATTAGCCGGAGAGATTGATGAAATAGAAGGTTTAAGTGATTTCTTCTATTCTTAATTCCTAACCTCTGCACCAGAAATCACCACCACCCTATTCCCAGGGCTTGGTTACATGTCATTATCTGTAGCCTCCCACCTCTCCCCTACTATGTGACAGTAATTGTACTGCCACGATGGAGACTGTCTTAGATCACACCAGGCACTCTGCTAAGAAATTTACTCACACAGTCTCATTCAACCCCCACAACCATTCTAGAAGTAAGCATACGAATTGTTATGCTTTATGTGGCAAATAACTCAAACTGGCTTAACAAGTAAGGGAGATTTATTGCTCATATAACCAAAAATTCCATCAGTACTGTGGGCTTCAGATACATCTTGATCAGTGCTTAGATCAATTTCTCTGCAGTTCCCTCAGCTCTCTTCTCCTCCATGTGTTAGATTTGTCACCAAGTTGATTCCCCTCACCATCATAAAATGTTGCTAGCAATAGTCCGGCCTACATGCTTTCTCATTTGCATTCAAGAGACTGGATATCATCTCAGAATCAATGAACAAAACTGGCTTTTTATACAGAGCTTCAGACAGAGGCATGAGTTATCTGCACATCCCTGGTATCAACACTGGGACAAAGGGTGGGAATACAATGATTGGCTGAGACTAATAGGGACCCACTTCTGAAGTTGTGGATGGGGTCAGTTTCACCTAAAGCACATTCTGCAGAGTTGTAGGGAGGTGGGATGACTATTGGGAGGCAACTATAATGTCATAATCTCTGTTGTTTAAATGAGAAAACTGACCAACACAAAGCTAGTAAGTGATAAAGCTTGGATTCAAATTTGGGCTCTCTGACTTCATAGTTTGCTCTTAACCACTAGACACTAGTTCCTTCTTATAATCATATGGGTTCTTTAAAAAAAGAAGGTGAGGCTGGGCACGGTGGCTCATGCCTGTAATCCCAACACTTTGGGAGGCCGATGGGGGTGGATCACGAGGTCAGGAGTTCGAGACCAGCCTGACCAACACGGTGAAACTCCATCTCTACTAAAACTACAAAAATTAACTAGGCGTGGTGGCGTGCGCCTGTAGTCCCAGCTACTTGGGAGGCTGAGGCAGGAGAATCACTTGAACCCGGGAGGCAGAGGTTGCAGTGAGCCGAGATGGTGACACTGCACTCCAGCGTGGGTGACAGAGTGAGACTCAGTCTCAGAAAAAAAAAAAAAGAAGGTGAGAATTCAGAATGCACATCTCTTGACTCTTGGCAACTTGACATGGGAAAGTCTTCATTTGCTCCCATTTATCTTTCACACCTAACATTTGAAACACACTGAATTTATCTTGCTCTTTTATGGACCTGAGGATGTTCAAAAGGACTTTTCTTTCAAGGTGAAAATGTACCACTCATACTTCAACCAAACATTTCATACATGGAGCAATTATGCTTATTCACATAAGATTGTCAAATCCTCAAGGCTTGGGCAGTGGCTGAAAAGTGCTCCCAGCTACTGTAACTTTAACAGGTCACTGAGGCAGGCATATCACGAGGTCAAGGGATCAAGACCATTCTGGCCAACATGGTGAAATCCCATCTCTACTAAAAGTACAAAAATTAGCTGGGCATGGTGGCGCAAGCCTGTAGTCCCAGCTACTCGGGAGGGTGAGGCAAGAGAATCACTTGAACCCAGGAGGCAGAGGCTGCAGTGAGCCGAGATCGTGCCACTGCACTCCAGCCTGGTGACAGAGCGAGACACAGTCTCAAAAAAAAAAAAAAAAAGGCAGTGACAATGTCCTTGTCCTAGAGCACTGGGAAGTATCTGCCTTGTGTGGAGCAATAGTTTTTGGCTCACTGACAAGTTCCTATGGAAGAGCTACTAAGAACATGAAAATTTGTGGGTGCAAGTGAAGGCAATGTTGAGAAGATGGAAAAGCTTGCTTTTCATGTCTTACATTTCTATATTTTTCTCTCCTTTTGACTTTGTTATACAGCCCCCAATGTGGTGTAAAACAAAGAACATGGACTTTGGAGAGAAGTGATATAAATATTGGATCTTTCCTCTCCTCAAGAAAATTATTTAATTTCTGTGAGCCCTAGTTTCCTCTTGGTAAATGAGACTACTTGGTAATAAACTCTAAATAAAATAGTTTATTTATATAACCAATGCTTTTATAGAGAGCATACCTTTTGCTAGTCTTTGTTACTAGCACTTTGCAAACACTAACTCCTCTTCAAAACCCTACGAGGTAGACACTATTATTATCTCTATTTTTTGGATAAGGAAACTGAGGCACAGAGGAATGATGGAATTGCCCAAGGTCACAGAAGTGCTAAATAGTAAAGGTAGAATTCAACCTAGGCAGTCTAGCTCCAGAGTCTATGTTCTTAACTACTAAACCATCTCGAGTTATTGAGAGGGTTAAACCAAACAACTTTCCTAAAAGCTCCCTCGCATATTAGAAATGCACAGTACGCAGCAGAGCACCTTGTCTTTCATGCCCTGTAGAGAGCCCTTCCCTTTTAGCAAAACACAAAGGACCAGATTTGTAACCATATAAACAAGCATTATTAATTAGGTATTTTAAGACTTCCTTACTTAATACACACAATACTATGTGCTATTAAAGGAACTCCATGCATCATAGAGTAGGTAAAAAAGATATTTCAAGGACAGTGGAAGATTCTCATTCCAGTGACCCTGGAAAATCACACTATTACTACCCATGTAGTTGCTCCTTAAGAATCACCAGTAACCCATTGCATAATGCATAGGTATCTTAGGAAGGATGTTTCTAGCACTCTTACTTCTGGGCAAATAGTAGAAGTGTACTTCTCTGCCACCTTGAAGAATGGCATTATCATGTGTGTGACTTGCTTTACCATTTACACATTCACAATGACATGTGAATGAAATGACTTATGCATTTCTGGGTAGAACCTTTAAGAGCCAGTGTGTGATTTGCCCTTTCCTTCCCCTTGACTGAGAAATCAATGATGTTCCCAGATAGTGGAGGTTCTGTCAGCTTGCATCCTGAGTGAGGAGGACATGGAGCAAAGCACCTAGCCATCCTACGATGGGTGCGCAAACTAAGGGAGACATACATCTTTGTAGTACTGCACCACTAAGACCTGAAGGTTGTTTATTACAGCAACATTATTTAACCTATCCGGACTGATTCATGAGGGGCCAAAAGAAGGGGGCAATGTTCTTCAGCATCTCTCTCAAATATGTTCTTCTGTCTTATTTGGGAGAACAGGTTAGAGACTATACCAGCTTCTGTTACTCAGGGCCCCTCCCCTAGAGTTGCTGGGTGATAGTTTCTTCGGGAAGGAAACCGTCCTACTCAAGCACGTGTCCTATCCTAGTCAGCTCCCAGCTATTTTCCCAGCCCTGACATAGGCTCTTGCTCCTAACCTTTACCTCTCCCTTCTGTAAGACAGTCCATTTCTACGGAGGAAAGGCCCCTTCTTCCTGTGTTTCTCTATTGCCCATGCCATCCAATCTACCGTGTGTCTATTATTCCGACGTCATGAGCCCGAGTTCTCTCGTGTCAAGACACCTACCCTCCAGAAAAGTTAGAATGGGAAATGCTGGTGGAGAACCCCTCAATGCCCCACAGAGGGCTGGAAAAAGGCAGGCATGGGAGGAGTAAGGTTGTCAACTGAAGCAAGAAATGATATCAGAGGAAGTTGTACTTTTACTCAAGGAGAATGCAGAGTACAGGATACAGGATCATTATGCAGAAACGTGTGGATCACTCAGGAGCGTACATGTGCTCAGATTTAAGTGCACACATAAACTCAACTTTTGGCAATTCTGTTCATATTTTTATGCCCCAGAGCCCAGCACAGTACCTGGAAAATAATAACAACTCAATACATGTTTGACAGATGGATTTTAATTGATGGTACATGGTATCAATGAAAACTGCTGAGATCCATTTTAGATAAAGTTAAAAAGTAAAAAGTATAAAAAGTTGGTTTGACTTTCATCAATATGAATTACAATATTTTACAAGAACTGCTTAGCACCTGTGCCTAATTACAGTGTAGCACAATAATAACCGTGAATATTATCAAACGTGTGTCAGATGAGCTTTGCTGTGCGTTTTATTTGATGACAACAAGCTTCATAGTCTTCTGCTCATGTAAAGTGGCTGTTTATGTAGCTTGCTCATCTGCTTCCATCATAAAAAAATTAAAGGTAACATTGTTCATTGACACTCCATTCGATTGACTCACCCAGAAGTGAAGTTTGCTTATGCAAGCAATGACAGAATCTCAAATAATCACTAATATCTTCTTCTAGTTAAAATAGTGGTCCTGTAGTTCCTATTCTTCCTAACCTGTACAGGTTATTAAAAAGAAGGTTATCTGTGTTTGTTATGGGCAGGAGGCCACATGCTGGACTTTAGACTAAGCTCCTTTCTGCAAGTTACCTGGCAACTGCTGTTCCATCCTCACATCCTCAGGGAACTAAGCCACTGTCTCCATGCTCACAGTTGAGGTCATCTCTCCAGTTCTCCCTTGAATTTCAGTTCCTCTTTAACACATGCCTTTAAAATATCTCCACTTGCACGTCCCTTACCTGGACTTATTTCTTTTCCCAACTTTCCCAGTATTCTAAAGCAATATCATTTTCCCAACCACCAGGATGGAAACTTCACCTATTATACTGTCCTCTGTCTTCACTCCCTGTTTCTAATCATCAAGTCCTATTGGTTCCTTCCCACCTGACATTTGTCAAATGTACCTCTTCCCCTATATTCTCACCATCCCCACATAATGAAGGCCTCAGTGTCATTCCTGAATGACATAGAAATTCATGAGTTTCCCCTTTATTCTCCATCTTGGGAGAGCCTGTGTCAGTCAGGTCTGGTAAAAAGACAGAAATAGGGTACCATAAAGAACTGTTAACTAGATATTGAAGAGCAGAACATTCAAAAGGGAAACATTAAGATATCACAGAGGTTACAATTACAGGAAGCAACTACCAACCTTAAGGCTCTGGAAGCAAAGAGAAGAGACTAGATGTATTAAAACTTAGAAAGTGGGCCTGCAGGGAGCTGCAAAACTCAAACCTCTGAGCAAGGGAGCATCTCAGCTGTGGGGCTGGTGTTTCAGGAGTTGGAGACGAGAGAAAGCAGATTCTGTGAGTGTTGGAAAAACAACTGGTTGGAGTCCATGGCTGCACCTGGAATCAAGTACTGGTTCCAGGTTTGGGAAAGAAGTGAGGCTGGGTGATGGTCACAGAAACAGGAAACCCAGAGGAAACAGGAAGGAGCACGTCTTCTCCATTTAGCATCCCCCAATGGCAAAGCCTCATAGGGAGCCAGTTGGCAAAGCCAACTTGTTTGCAAGGGCCCAGTCTCAGCATCAATTAAAGAATATAGAAGGGTGGGCTTGAAGCTGAAAGACAATAAATGGCACATGGTGACAAAATTAATGAAGGTCACTTCATTTTATCAGGACTCTCTCCTTAATTTATTCTGGCTCAGATCCAAAAGCCAAATACTAAAAGCATTGTTGCATCGTCAGGTTTTCAACCTCATTATTCAACATTAGAGATATGCTGCTTACATCAATTTGTCTTTTGACTCTATCACACCCACTAACCCTCAGCTTCCCACCAATGCCATCTTCAATGGCCTGGTGATTATCTTGCCAATCAGGTTTCTCTCAAGTTCCCCCCCCAGCAGCCAAATCTCTCTATAACTATTTTCAAATCAACTTACAAAGTTCAGTCAAGGGTCTGCTCTGGGGACTTCTCTGCCAAACTGAGGGAAATCCATCTTTTCCCTTAGGAAGAAACTCCTTTTGAGGAAGAGAAATAAACATTCCAGCAGGGGTATGGAAGCATGCCATATGGGAAGCCCATTAAAATGTAGAACTGGGCTGCGCTTGGTGGCTCACACCTGTAATCCTAGCACTTTGGGAAGCCAAGGCAGGTGGATCACATGAAGTCAGGAGTTTGAGACCAGCCTGGCCAACATGGTGAAATTCCGTCTCTACTAAAAATACAAAAATTAGCCTGGTGTGGTGGTGCACGCCTATAATCCCAGGTACTCAGGAGGCTGAGGCATGAGAATCACTTGAACCCAGGAGGCGGAGGTTGCAGTGAGCTGAGATTTTGCCACTGTACTCCAGCCTGGGCGACAGAGCGAGACTCTGTCTCAAAAATAAAATATACATGTATAACTGAATGTAGTCCTTAGTGAGAGCACAGTGGAAAAAACACGGATCAGGTTAGCCTTGAAGATAGCTCCAGATAGTTTGGACCAAGAAAACAGGAAGGCACTCAGGTTTCTATGGCTTTGCACAGAGAAAAAAGCTCCCTTACGTGGAATTTCCTTTCTTTTTTCCATAATGAAGACAAGCCCCAAATTTTCCTCAGGGTCAACTTTCAGATTCACTTCCTCTTAATGCCATGTTTAGCCAGAAAAAGAGCCTCCCAACTTTTGCTAGTATGAACAAGGAAGCAGAGAGTGAAGAATTAAGTTTGAAGAAAATAGTTTAAGTGCATCTAGTCCCCACCCAGAGAAAATCCTATACCCGGGGATACCACCTTTCACTGATTAGGCTGGACAAATTTTTAAAGATTGATAATACATTATGATATTCTAAGGAAAAGATAATGGCAGAATGTTATGATAGAATTTATTCACAGTATGTTATGATAAAATTTATTCATAATTACACAGACACACACATGCAAATTAATGCATTTTACAAAAGATCTGGAAGGATATACATCAAACTGTTGAAAGAGGTTACCTCTGGGGAGGGGAGTTTTGAGGAAACAGAGTAAAGGAGGACTTGTACTGTTAGCTCTATATCTTTCTGTGCTGTGTGAATTTCATTACAATGTTGATATATACGTTTATAATTTATTAATGGAAAAAATTAATTATAGACCCCAAATTAAAGGTGATAAGATTGTGGAGGTCAGATTACACATCAGAAATAGTCCAGTGAAAATACCAGAAATGTGACTAGCTCTTTTCGAATTATACAAATTTAAACTATTTGTTTACAAGAAAAAATAAATTTAGAAGATCTGTTTGTACAAACGGCCAACTGCTCTTTATCTAATTACATATATGAAAGTATGTGTTTCTTTGTAGATTTTAAAGGAGACCTGCCATCCTTAAAACTTTGTTTTTGAGCTTGTCTGCAGCTAAAAATTGTTGGAATCGACACAATGCAGTCTGCAGTGTACATTTTGGCACACACAGTTGAACATTTGAGCAGAGCGAAGATCAATGGGAAGCCCGTTATCCTTGGGTTTGGCAAAGTGTTTAAACCTGTTTGGGTTTAAGTATTCAGGATGATGAAATGTTAGCCCGTCTGAGACTACTTCAGCCTTTTTTCAGGTGCAATTTCGACAGCTGTGTAAAGGATTTACGCAAGTTTGGGTGAATTCAAACACAGGTGTAAAAGATAAAAGGCAACTGGAACAAATGATCTACCTATGATCATTTTTCCATGTTTGGCCATCTTATTTTGTGCCTGTTGATTCCACTGCCCTTTCATGCAACATCTATCTTATGACTCATCAAAAAAATCCACCTTATTTTAATTTATTGCTAATAAAGAATGAAATTTTGAACAAAATCATGTCTGGTTCTTCTCTCTAAACTCAACTCTTATTTATTCCCTTGTGTTTCGTCCATCTTTTCTCCACAGCTTTCAAGTAGATTATTCCCCCCCCCAATCTTTGACCTGTAGATGTATTTAGCAGATCTTATAGTAGTGTCTCAAAATCTTGCACATAATCATTCCATCATATTCTAATGGAAAGGTCTAATATTTTGTGACCGCGGTAGAATATAAGGTCTGGAGGGTGGTTCAAAGTTATGTTATTTGTTCTTCATCACTCTAAACATTACGTTTACTGACAGTAAGCCAAAGGTAATCAGATACTAGAAATCACATTGTTAAAATTTGATACTCCATGAAAAAAATGTTTTTAAAAGTGTCTGGTCTTAGTTTTACATTGCCACAATATAGTTAAATGAACTAAAAATGAGATGTACCATTCCTGCCTAGGTTTTTCTAAAAACAAGGGAAACATCCAACACATCCAACACAGGTCTCACCCTGGCCATAGGTAAGAGTGTCCCACAAAAGTGACGGATGTGCCAGACAGACATGTAGGACACCAAGGAGCAGGAACGCAGCAGAAGGGATGCAAGTTGCAGAATCACTATAGCTTCCCAAACTTATTTATAAACTCGTGTGCCACACATCAGCCTCAAAGCCTTCTAGAAAATTCTTGAAAGTAGTTTGGAATCCTGAAAAAAAAAAACCCAGAAATACAGAAGAGAAACCTAGGTTAGGGGTATACCCATTTTTAGAAGTAGAAACTCTAGACAGCAGCAGGATCCTAGATTCAAGCTTAAGTTACCAGCTGTGCAACTCCAGGGAAATTCTAACTCTTGAGCTTCTTATCTAAAGCAGGAATAATAAATTCTGTCCAATTTAATTCCAAAGCAGTTGTAAGGATTAAATGAAATAAAATTGTTTTGAAAAGTGTTAAGCACTACAGAAGGTAATGCTGTTAGTGTCACTTTGTTAGTTTGTAGACAAAAATATGCATAATCTCACTTGCTCATAAAATTGTGTTTGGGATATTATTGTTGAAGAAAATTCTTAATTCCTTGTGAAGAGTTTGGGATATTAGAGTATAAATCATTTTCTAAATTTACTTATTGAATTTACTTTTAACAGTTCAATTTTTGTTGCAAAAGGAATGCTTAACTTTAAGAACTTTAAGACATTTCACAAGTATTCACTTCTGGAAGTTTGTGAAAGCAGGAAAAACTCAAAAGTAAAGAAATTACAAACATAGTAGTAATGATTATTTACTTTTCTAATGTTTGGAAAACCCTCTACTGTAGGTTTTTAAAAAGACTCCCATTTTCTAAAAAAGACATAAAGAATTTTAAAAACTCATTATAAAAGTACTAATGATATCTAACTTTTGAACCCAGCTCTCTACCTAATTATCCTAAATTTTCAAGCTACTAATATAAGCACTTTTTAGGTTTTTGCAGCTTTCTTTTCACAGATTTATGAAAACAAAGGGTTTACAATAATTGACTCATGCTTTATATTCTTCCTAGAAGCACCTCACTTTTTTTTTTTTCCAACCGAAGTATAATGAGACTGCACGACTAACCCAGCAAGATAGTGGAAGATCCAGGACCAACCAGGTCTCCCAACATGGTCCTCAGTCCTTTCTAGAGCACCAGTCAACCACCCTAACTTGATGATTCCAAACATAATCCACTTTCCTTTGTACACAGTAGATGATGGAGGAATCTAAATTAAGAAGAAATAATTGGACACCACATTGGAATGATATGCTAGAATCCTGATGTGGTTTGGCTGTGTCCCCACCCAAATTTCATCTAGAATTGTAATTCCCATAATTCCCATGTGTTGTAGGAGGGACCCAGTGGGAGATAATTGAATCATGGGTGCAGTTTCCCCCATACTGTTCTCGCGGTAGTGAGTAAGTCCAGATCTGATGATTTTATAAGGGGTTTCCCCTTTTGCTTGACTCTCTTCTCTCTTGCCTGCCACTATGTAAGATGTGCCTTTCACCTTCCACCACAATTGTGAGGCCTCCTCAGTCACGTGGAACTGTAAGCCCATTAAACCTCTTTTTCTTTAGGAATTACCCAATCTCAGGTATGTCTTCATCAGCAGCATGAAAATGGACTAATATGAATCCCAAGCTGTATCCCATACCAATTGAAAGCCTTATTACAACAAAGTTGTTTTCTAACATTGTCTTACACTGTCTCATACCTAGGGGCCTTACCAGCTTAAAGCCACCTCCTGGAGAGGGCTTTCTAGTCACTCCATTAAACTCTCTGTCTCATCATTTTGGTTCTCTGCATTTATAATTGTTTTCTGGTGTGCTCTTGTGTTCCTCCACCAAAATGTAAGCTCCATGAGAACAGAGACCCTATCTGTACTGCTCATTTCCCATTGCCCAGAACAGTGCCTCAAACTTAGAGTACACTCAATAAATATGTGCTGAATAAAATACTGGTTGCTTTATAACAGAAGCAAATGCAGTAACAGGGCTATCATCACTTACATTTCTGCCTTGGAATTTTTGTTCCAGCAGGTTTTCAGCAGCATGAATTTAACCAACAAGAAGATTCTTCCTATTTCTCATATTATCTGAATTGATAATATTAACAAAATATTTCATTTTGCTCTCTTCTATATTTATAAGAGAAAATACACTTCTGTTCTTGGTAAAAGAAAAGTTATCTTTGACCTTTAACTTGACATATGTACTAATTGTATCAATTTTTCAAATATTTGGAAAACAAAAATTTGTCTAGCACTCAGAGAAGAGATTTTCTTCTTTGCCAGTTCCTTCCAGGCCTTAATGTATCCAGACACTCTACTCACTATTTCACCAGAACTCCTTTCTCAAATGTTCCTCTTTAAAAATTTTCAAGAACACACCAATGCTCTTTAGTGTAGAAAGCTATTTTTTAAATAGTGGGTGGCAGGGAAGAGGGAGCTAAACAAAACAAAACAAAATGAAAAGCTTGAAACCTCTTGCCTGTTTGACTTGTCCACTGGTGCTGTTAAAACAATGGCTTTTTAATCTTGTTTATCATAGGATAGACACACTAAATGGTCCCTATACACTAAATATTCTTCACAAGGAATTAAGAGTTTTCTGTAAAAATAACCGCATCTAGTTAATCTGGATCTTTACAATTCCATGCAGAGCAGAGACTTCTGAAACAAACTAGCTAAATGCTTCTTGTCAAATACGGTAAAGGATAGTGCTGGGATGCAAGAGAGAAAGGATGAAGTTCTACTGGCACCTTTTCTTTTGAAGTGGCCCCAAACCTTAAAGCCTGCATTTCATTTGGGAAAATCTTTTGCTAAAACCACTTCCCATATGCAACCCATCTGGAGGACTATAATCTAGTCTTGCCTGCAGCAAACCAACAATAATGATGCTTGCCTTTCATCACAGATCCCTGAGCACTAGACAAACATTAATTAATGCCCCCAACACACCTGTGAGGTAGGAAGTATTATTATCCCTGGCTCACAGATGAGGAAATTCAGACACCAAGAGATTAAATGGCTTGCCTTAGGCCACAGAGTGAGCTAACAACAACAGCAAACTTTCCACTAACCCTTGGCCCTCTGTACAGGCTTGAGCTCTGAGAAACTTTGAGCAGAACCATTGCTACATGAGGTAGGCTACAATCAACTTATTTGTCTTTTTCACAGGGAGGTTGGACTCTACTCCAGAACATAAATGAACTCAGGGCCCAAAGGTCTTAAAAATGTGGAAACAGTAACAGAATATGGAATATTTATATCTTCCAGGGCCCTTCCCAAAGTATCCTTTAATTGTCATCTCTGGTGACACCCAGACTTCAGGTAGCATTTATTGAGAACCTACTACGTACCTGGTACTGCAATTTCAGTACTTGTTCCCATGTCTTTCCAGAGAACCAAGTATGACTCCAGTAAAACAACTGTTGCAAAGTTTGGGTCAAGTGGAAATTAGAAACTATTGTAACCAAGAATGGTTTCTCTCTCTTCCCTAAAGGTTGGCATGAGAGGTATAAAAATTACCAAGAGAATCCCAATGGTGAATAATCATGTGATCATTGTACACCAGGACGCTTTCCAGCTAAAGCTGCAAAATCATGCAGCCCACCCATCTTTTAAATAGCCCAAGAGTTCTACCAACAGGCACAGTCCTAGTACTATTAATAACAAATAATAATAACTGTTCTTTCTTAATCAATTTTTTCTATGTTCCAGACTTTACATAAAAATATCACGTTACTATTTGCAACAATCCTCAAAGAAGGTGTTACTATTTTTCTCTTATTTTTACAAATGGAAATACGGTTCAACTTGTTAGATAACTTGCCGGAAAATGGCAGAGCCAGAATTTAAAACCAAGTGTGACTACAAAGTCCATACTCTTTTCATATTTTACTACTTCTTTTCTGAGGATAATTGAGGATTCTTAATTATCTCTCTTTATTTTTACTTTTTTTTTTTTTTTTTTTGGATATCCCTTTACTCTCTTAGCACCTTCTAGGAAGGCCTTTGACTAGCAGCCAGGTATCTCTAGCATGAGACGGAACATAGTTGTCAGACTGTCTTAGGGAAATCTCTTCTCCCCACTGGCTTTCTCAGTAGTTTACAACACAGCCACATTTTGAACCTTCAGACCTTGCTGACCAAGCCCTGAGAATACTATCTCTTGATTCTGTTACATCAACATTCCAATTTGAAGTAGCGCTTCTTATTCAAGAGGCACTGTGACCATTTCCATGCCCTGGGTTTCATATCTAGTTTGAGCCCCTAATTTCAACCTGACCTCAAGCTTCTATGTAGCAACTAGTTCATTTCTCCATTCGCTCATGCATCACTTAGGCTGCAAGGACAGATCAACCAAGCCAAACTGACAATAAAAATAATTTACTTGTTGACTAAGGGAATAGATCAGCAGTAACATGGGCTTCAGGTATGGTTTGATCAGAACCCTGGCTCTGCTTCTCTCAGATTTATTCTCCTTTATATGTCAAATTGTTCCTTAGACTGATTCTTCTCCTATTGAAAGACGGATGTCGGTAGCAATTCTGTTTCCAGCTTCCTTGTTCATTTCCAAAACACAGTGAAGAGGGACAGCAGGAAGGAGAATATGTCTCAGTGGGCACTTGAATGCTTTCTGATGAAAAGAATAATAATAATGCATTTGTTCACTAATTTGAAAGAGTGTATGACAATAACTATGCCATGTACTGAATGCTTACTATGTTGCAGGTGTAATACTAACCACATTAAATTACCTTAGCACACATAAACACATGATGACCCTGCACAAAGGAGCTGTTATCACCTACATTTTATTGAAACCAAAGCACAGAGAAGTTTAGAAATTACCGAGGATGACACAGCTAGTAAGTGGTAGAGTCGGGAGTTGACCATAAATCTGGATGACACAAAACTCTCTGTGCCCACAAAGGGAACAGAAATTTTCCAGGTGTACCTTAACTGCGGTAACAAAGATAGCCTGCCCTGAGCTACACAGTCAGTGCTTGTTTGGATAGGAAAGGAGGGAAAGACAGGCATAAGAAAAATAAGGTCAATTCAGAACTCCATTTTTTGGCCTTTGGAAAATAGAGCCACTCACACAATTTCTCTATTATCTGCCAAGAGTTAATCTCTAGAATCCAAGCAGAGACTCAGAGAGACCCCTCTACTGAATAATTAATAAGCCAGAAAATCAACTTGCTCAGAAAATTACAGCATTTGGCACAGCACTGTACACATATGTATAGCAGGTGTCATCTTTAGTAAAGACTTTTACTTTTTTGGAATTACAGCATTTATTTCTAAATCTGGAAGCAGTCTTTAAAGGCAAGTTCCCTGACATCCATACAGAAGCCAATATACCTGACTTCACCTCATTAACTGCTGCAAATCTTCTGATTGTAGTCCAAAGTTAGAATAGAAGCAGGGTCTACTTTGCTAATGACAGCCCTGGTCCTAAGGGCTGTTAATAGAATAGGTGATAGCAAAGGTTGTTTGTTTTAGCCATTTACAGTTTTACAACTGACTGTAAGGAGACTGGAATAAACAGCCATGCTCATGCTGTGCCACCACCTATAGCAGAGCCCAGAAACCTCCACAAACACCTGAAATACATGAAAGAAGTCTTGTAATTTAGCAGAAGCAAGGAGATAAGCCTGGGAATCAGTGTGACCCCTAACGCAATAGCACAAAATCAAGAGTCAATTTTGTCAGGGATGGAGGAGAAACAAAATCTACCACGCATCACCTATGGCTTCTGAAGGCTGCTACCAGAGGAACACATCTGTATTTGAGCTTTCCATGTTTTAAGATCCTAAAATATTCCATTGTGAAACATTTAAGGTCAATGTAATTGGCATATTCTTCTTGTGGGAGAAAACGGAAACTGTTTTAGCCTTCCTTCAATTCTCACTCCATCTAAGAGGCAGCTTTCATTAGCTGTAACTGGCTTCACCAACCCATTGATCATTTACAGCATTCAGTTTCTTTGCTTAAAATGTAGCTCAAATGAAGAAAAACTGTGGACAAGTTGAGTATGTTGAGTATGTGCCAAACTCTCAGAATCAGAGCTACAAGCCACATGTAACTACTTAAGTTTAAATTAATTAAAACAAATAAAATTTAAGATTTAGTTCCTTAGTTACAAAAACCACATTTCAAGTGCTCAATAGCCATGTGTGACTAGTGGCTTTTCCAGGAATAACCAGGACATAAACATTTCCATCATCATAAAAGTTTTATTGAATAGCACTGGTCTCTACAGCATCAGAATAGAAGATTCCACTGCTAACAGGTTAAGGCCATGTATTACAGATACTAACTGCAAAAAAAAGTCACCTAATTGTCTTAGTGAATTTGAATTAAACTTTTCTTGTATTGAGAATTATCCATGAGCAGGTTATTTAATTCACCTATAACTTTCTTTTCCTTTCTTTCTTTTTTTTTTTTTCCGAGACGGAGTCTCGCACTGTCGCCGAGGCTGAAGTGGAATGGCATGATCTCAGCTCACTGCAACCTCCGCCTCCAGGATTCATGCAATTCTCATGCCTCAGCCTCCCGAGTAGCCAGGATTACAGGTGCCCGCCATCACACCTGTCTAATTTTTAATATTTTTAGTAGAAACGGGGTTTCACTATGTTGACCAGACTGGTCTCCAACTCCTAACCTCGTGATCTGCCCACCTCGGCCTCCCAAAGTGCTGGGATTACAGGCGTGAGCCACCACACCTGGCCTCACCTATAACTTTCTATCAGCGACAGGTAGCTTGAATTAAATTCAGCTGTACGTGATAAAAAACACAATAGTGGCTTAAACACACAAAGTGTTCTATTATTTCCAAGTTCCAGAAATGAGCAGTCCAAAGCTGGTACAGTAACTTGATTTGTTCATCATGTAACCAGGATCATGCCCACTTGCTGTTGTGTCCCCTATAAGGAATGAATTTCAGTAGCCTGATTCAAAATGCTGTCTAGAGCTCTAGTCTTTATATCTGCCTTCCAGCCAACTGGAAAGAGAAAGGGGAAGAACTGTAAGCCCTTTCCTGTAAGGATACTCCTTAAGTTGCAAATGACATTCCTGTTTGCATTCTATTGTCCAAAAGGTAAACACAAGGTTACTCTTAGCTGCAAGGGAAGCTGGGGAATGTGGTTTTTATTATGACCGTTATAAAATTAAGGGTTGTATTACTGTGGAAAGAAAGGAGAATGGCTATGGGAAAGTAACCAGGGGCTTCTGCCACACTAATAGTGTTGAGACACTGTAAAATAAGAGAGACAAAGCAATTAAAGAGAATTTTTCCAATTGCAAACAACACTTTCAAAAAGCTTAGCAAGAATTTTAAATTACTGAGTAAATGAAAATCTCTGAGTTTTGGGGAATTTTCAATGATCTGTATTTCCTTGGTGGCCACCTTAGTGCTTAGGGCCACCTTAAGGAAAGTCACTCCATTCCTAAGCCCTCCTTCAGAATACCCAAAACTCTTCATTTAAGTTTCTCATATGGCTTGACACACAATCTGCTACAGGTTTATCTCAGTTAAAAAGTCTTCACAAAATGTGAACACTCCTGGGGATGGTAAAAATATCTGTTCGTTCTCTATTTATTATTAGTTAGTCAAATCCAGTTTTTGATCTCCAAAAATAGAAGGATTGACTGAGTTGGAGTCTGTGGGGAATGAGGTGAACAAGAAAGAAGTAACTTTAAAGTTTTGGATTGGGAAGACACGAGAGGAAACGCATTTCTGGGGTGTTTCTTAGAGTGGTCAGTGGTAGCTGAAGAGCAGATTAAGATCATTAGAAATATTAGGAGAAGAGAAAGGAAGGTTGAGAAGAATGGAGGTGGGGAAGAGAGACTGAAGGGCACAAAGATGGAATTGAGAGCTGAGAACGCATCAAGGATGAATTTCACCATCTTGAAATTTTGCCTAGAGTTGACCATGAATGCTACAATATTTATGTGATCTCTTAGCAAAATATGCAAGAATAGAGCTTTTTTCAATTAAGAAATTAAAAAGCATATAAGAAGTTAAAATGCAGTGCTCCTCTAAACTGATAGTGTTTTGTGTACAATCAACAAAAGCAAAAGAAATTGCATTATCTGAACTAAAAAACCTGTCTCTTACTGTTCTGGAAATGTATTAATTCATTCATTTTAATTTTAATTTAGCTGTCTTTTTAAAAAAAAAATTCTACCTAACAATAATGACAGCATTAAACAAGTATGTTTTGGGGAAGGCACCATACCAAGTGCTTTACATTTATCATTTCATTTAATCTGCACAGCATCTCTTTGAGGTAGATATTGTTATATCCCTTTTACAGAGAAAGGAACTGAGGCTTAGAAAGATTGGGTGACTTGCCTGAGTTGGTGGTGGCAGAGCCAGGTTCCAGACCTATAAAGCCAAGCTCCAGATTCCTTGCTCTTAATCCCTATACTGACACTGCCTCCCTACTTGGTGTTTGGTAGAAATAGAAATGATTCACATTAAGATCAACAGTGACACCTGAACAGGCTATACACTTTGGACGCCTTTCTCCATAAGGCACTCTCCATGTGACTGACATCACTTCTGACTGCTTCAAATGTCCCTTATGTGGATGACCTGCAACTTACTCCTAAAACCTTCTTCACTGTCTCTCCCTGGCTCCCTGCCTCACGCACCACCCCCCACCACCCTCACCACCAACCTCCAGACAGCAGCCAAGGTGTTCTCTGTCAATGGTGTCACCTAGTGGTCAGAAGGTAGAACTCCTTTATTTGACTTCCCTTTTCTACACCCTATTCTTTTATTCCTCTTCAAGGACTTTTTGGCAGAATATATCTACCTCTATTAAGTCATCACTCAGGGTTCATTCAATTCTCCCTTAACCTTTTTCACTTACATACACTCATCTCCTTTAACTCCCTTTCTCCTCAATCCTCTCTCTTTGAAGGAGGATCTCTCTCCCTTCATCATTTATTTCACTAGCCAAAATGTTCACCCAATCATCAGAGAATAGTGAGCTCTGAAATCAGACAGAACTGAATTTTAATTCCAGAGCCAATGCATTAATTGTGAGATGTTGAGCAAATTGTATGGCCTTTCTAAATGTCAGTTTTCAAATCCATAAAATGGAGATAAATTTGCTACTTCACAGAGTTCTTAGAGGAATGAGATGACTTAAGAAAAGCCTTATCTAATTGCACATAATCAGTATTTAATGACTATCACTCATCTCCACACCATCATGAGTAATGCATAAAATAATCATGCTGCTGTATCAAGAAAAAGGAAAGCCATATTCTTGGGGATTAAATTTGTTCTACTTAAGAACCAGTGTCTATAATACTTAAAATCTTTTCAGTAATTTCTCATCAAAACTTCCACAGGGGTCCATGTACTTGCTGGTTTTATCCTTGTTATAAATAGTATTTCTTCTTCATGATAGATAAATCAAATATTTATAAGATAGTCTGGGTATGTAATGTTAAATCAAGCTTAGCCTAAAGCTAAACCTCCTTACATATTTTAAGTTCGGCCTAAAGGTTTTGCCGTACATTGTGAACTATAGTAAGTGGAAGTGTAAACCAACTGTAGCCTACATTTGTGCCAATCACCAAGTTTTGGCCAATCAACTGTAGACAACTGTTTCAACGGTGTTCAAATAAGGCAAATGCCAAGCTGTAACCAATTTGGCTATTTCTGTACCTCACTTCCATTTTCTGTACGTCACTTTCCCTTTTCTGTATGTCACTTTCCCTTTTCTGTCCATAAATCTTCTTCCCCTACATAGCTGCGCTGGAGTCTCAGAGCCTGCTCTGGCTCGGGAGGCTGCCTGATTTGCGAATTGCTCATTCCTCAATTAAACTCCTTTAAATTTAATTATGCTGAAGTTTTTCTTTTATGAATGACCATCATTTACAAACATTACTTCTATGCAAAAGTGCATTCTAAATTCCAAAGAGCCATCAATTAGGAATTTATTCTAGTTTTGGTTTTAAAATTATGAAAAGCTTTAAACTAAGCAAACCCAAAAGTAAAGAGTACGTTTTGCTTTTTTTCTAAGGGAGGTCAGGACTTCTAAATGGGTCAGCTCACAAAATAAAGTGGAATGTGTGCTGATACATTGGAGAAAAATGTGAAAATTCAACCTGCCCTAAGAAGCACCGATTATCCTCTTCAAGCATAGTTTGTTATCTTAGCTACACATGTGACACAAAACAAATCCAGCCAAAGAAGCTTATGAACTAGCATTTGACAATATATGCAGATTACTGGTTTATGTTATTTATCAAAATACAATATATCAAAGATAATGCAATAAAGTATCATACTGGAACAAATGGACACCCATATACAAAAGACTGAATCTTGATTCATACTTCATACCATATGTATATAAATATTCACCTAATATCAACCATAGACTTCAATGTAAAAACCAATCTATAAACTTCTAAAAGAAAATACAGGAAAAAATCGTGACCTTGGGTTAGGCAATGATTTCTAAGACACGACACAAAAAGCGTGATACACAAAAGAAAAAGCTGAAACTGAATTTTATCAAAATTTAAAACTTTTGTTCATCAGACACTGTAAAGAAAATGAAAGAACCATCCACAGACTGGAAAAAAATATTTCCAAAACACATATCTGAAAGAGAGCTTAAATCAAAAATATAGGAATTCTCAAAATTTAATAAAAGAATATAAAAATGGGCAAAAGATTTAAACACTTTACCAAATGAGATATAAAAATGTCAAATAAGGCCGGGCACGGTGGCTCATGCCTGTAATCCCAGCACTTTGGGAGGCCGAGGCGGGAGGATCACGAGGTCAGGAGATCGAGACCATCCTGGCTAACACAGTGAAACCCCGTCTCTACTAAAAAAACACAAAAAAATTAGCCGGGCGTGGTGGCGGGCGCCTGTAGTCCCAGCTACGCGGGAGGCTGAGGCAGGAGAATGGCGTGAACCCGGGAGGCGGAGCTTGCAGTGAGCCGAGATCGCGCCACTGCACTCCAGCCTGGGCGACAGAGCGAGACTCCGTCTCAAAAAAAAAAAAAAAAAAAAAAAAAAATGTCAAATAAGCACATTAAAAGATGTTAAACATCATTAGTCGTTGGGTAAATGCAAATTAAAACCATGATGAGATACCAATATGTATCTATTAGATTGGCAAGAAACAAAGATGAAAATATCAAGTGCTGACATAGGTGCTACGCAATTAGAATTTTACACGTTGCTCCTAGAAATGAAAAATGATTTAGCCACTTTGGAAAATGATTTAGAAGTTTCTTTTTTTTTTAATTATACTTTAAGTTCTAGGGTACATGTGGACAACGGGCAGGTTTGATACCTAGGCATGCATGTGCCAAGTTGGTTTGCTGCACCCATCAACACATCACTTACATTAGGTATTTCTCCTAATGCTATCCCTCCCCCAGGTCCCCACCCCACAACAGGCCCCAGTGTGTAACGTTCCCCGCCCTGTGTCCAAGTGACCTCATTCTTCAATTCCCACCTATGAGTGAGAACATGCGGTGTTTGGTTTTCTGTCCTCGTGATAGTTTGCTGAGAATGATGGTTTCCAGCTTCATCCATGTCCCTACAAAGGACATGAACTCATCCTTTTTTATGGCTGCTTAGTATTCCATGGTGTATATGTGCCACATTTTCTTAATCCAGTCTATCATTGATGGACATTTGGGTTGGTTCCAAGTCTTTGCTATTGTGAATAGTGCCGCAATAAACATACATGTGCATGTGTCTTTGTAGTAGCATGATTTATAATCTTTTGGGTATATACCCAGTAATGGGATTGCTGGGTCAAATGGTAATTCTAGTTCTAGATCCTTGAGGAATGAACACACTGTCTTCCACAATGGTTGAACTAATTTACACTCCCACCAACAGGGTAAAAGCGTTCCTATTTCTCCACATCCTCTTCAGCATCTGTAATTTCCTGACTTTTTAATGATTGCCATTCTAACTGGCATGAGATGGTATCTCGTTGTGGTTTTGATTTGCATTTCTCTGATGACCAGTGATGATGAGCATTTTTTCATGTGTCTGTTGGCTGCATAGATGTCTTCTTTTGAGAACTGTCTGTTCATATCCTTTGCCCACTTTTTGATGGGGTTGTTTTTTTCTTGTAAATTTGTTTGAGTTCTTTGTAGATTCTGGATATTACCCATTGTCAGATGGGTAGATTGCAAAAATGCTCTCCCATTCTGTAGGTTGCCCGTTCACTCTGATGGTAGTTTCTTTTGCCATACAGAAGTTCTTTAATTTAATTAGATCCCATTTGTCTATTTTGGCTTTTGTTGCTATTGCTTTTGGTGTTTTAGTCATGAAGTCCTTGCCCATGCCTATGTCCTGAATGGTATTGCCTAGGTTTTCTTCTAGGGCTTTTATGATTTTAGGTCTAACATTTAAGTCTTTAATCCATCTTGAATTAATTTTTGTATAAGGTGTAAGGAAGGGATTCAGTTTCAGCTTTCTACATATAGCTAGCCAGTTTTCCCAGCACCATTTATGAAATAGGGAATCCTTTCCCCATTTCTTGTTTTTGTCAGGTTTGTCAAAGATCAGATGGTTGTAGATGTGTGGTTATTTCTGAGGCCTCTGTTCTGTTCCATTGGTCTATATATCTGTTTTGGTACCAGTACCATGGTGTTTTTGTTACTGTAGCCTTGTAGTACAGTTTGAAGTCAGTTAGCATGATGCCTCCAGCTTTGTTCTTTTTGCTTAGGATTGTCTTGGCAATGCAGGCTCTTTTTTGGTTCCATATGAACTTTAAAGTAGTTTTTTCCAATTCTATGAAGAAAGTCATTGGTAGCCTGATGGGGATGGCACTGAATCTATAAATTACTTTGGGCAGTATGGCCATTTTCATGATATTGATTGTTCCTATCCATGAGCATGGAATATTCTTCCATTTGTTTGTGTCCTCTTTTATTTCGTTGAGCAGTGGTTTGTAGTTCTCCTGGAAGAGGTACTTCACATCCCATGTAAGCTGGATTCCTAGGTATTTTATTCTCTTTGTAGCAACTGTGAATGGGAGTTCACTCATGATTTGGCTCTCTGTTTGTCTGTTAATGGTGTATAGGAATTCTTGGGATTTTTGCACATTGATTTTGTATCCTGAGACTTTGCTGAAGTTGCTTATCAGGTTAAGAAGATTTTGGGCTGAGATGATGGGGTTTTCTAAATATACAGTCATGTCATTTGCAAACAGGGACAATTTGACTTCCTCATCTCCTAATTGAATACCCTTTATTTCTTTCTCTTGCCTGATTGCCCTGGCCAGAACTTCCAACACTATGTTGAATAGGAGTGGCGAGAGAGGGCATCCTTCTCTTGTGCCAGTTTTCAAATGGAATGCTTCCAGTTTTTGCCTATTCAGTATGATACTGGCCGTGGGTTTGTCATAAATAGCTCTTATTATTTTGGATACGTTCAATCAATACCTAGTTTATTGAGAGTTTTTAGCATGAAGGGCTGCTGAATTTTGTCAAAAGCCTTTCCTGCATCTATTGAGATAATCATGTGGTTTTTGTCATTGGTTCTGTTTATGTAATGGATTACATTTATTGATTTGCATATGTTGAACCAGACTTGCATCCCAGGGATGAAGCTGACTTGATCGTGGTGGATAAGCTTTTTGACATGCTGCTGGATTCAGTTTGCCCGTATTTTATTGAGGATTTTCGCATCGATATTCATCAGGGATATTGGTCTAAAATTCCCTTTTTTTGTTGTGTCTCTGTCAGGCTTTGATATCAGGATGATGTTGGCCTCATAAAATGAGTTAGGGAGGATTCCCTCTTTTTCTATTGATTGGAATAGTTTCAGAAGGAATGGTACCAGCTCCTTTGTACCTCTGGTAGAATTCAGCTGTGAATCCGTCTGGTCCTGGACTGTTTTTGGTTGGTAGGCTATTAATTATTGCCTCAATTTCAGAGCCTGTTATTGGTCTATTCAGAGATTCAACTTCTTCCTGGTTTAGTCTTGGGAGGGTGTATTTGTCCAGGAATTTATCTATTTCTTCTAGATTTTCTAGTTTATTTGCATAGAGGTGTTTACCGTATTCTCTGATGGTAGTTTGTATTTCTGTGGAATCGGTGGTGATATCCCTTTATCATTTTTTATTGCATCTATTTGATTCTTCTCTCTTTTCTTCTTTATTAGTCTTGCTAGTGGTCTACCAATTTTTGTTGATCTTTTCAAAAGGCCAGCTCCTGGATTTATTGATTTTTTGAAAGGCTTGTGTCTCTATCTCCTTCAGTCCTGCTCTAATCTTAGTTATTTCTTACCTTCTGCTAGCTTTTGAATTTGTTTGCTCTTGCTTCTCTAGTTCTTTTAATTGTGATGTTAGGCTGTCGATTTTAGATCTTTCCTGCTTTGTCTTATGGGCAGTTAGTGCTATAAATTTCCCTCTACACACTGCTTTAAATGTGTCCCAGAGATTCCGGTATGCTGTATCTTTGTTCTCATTGGTTTCAAAGAACATCTTTAGTTTTGCCTTCATTTCATTATTTACCCAGTAGTCATTCAGGAGCAAGTTGTTCAGTTTCCATGTACTTGTGTGGTTTTGAGTGAGTTTCTTAGTCCTGAACTCTAATTTGATTGCACTGTGGTCTGAGAGACAGTTTGTTGTGATTTCTGTTCTTTTACATTTGCTGAGGAGTGCTTTACTTCCAATTATGTGGTCAACTTTAGAATAAGTGTGATGTGGTGCTGAGAAGAATGTATATTCTATTGATTTGGGGTGGAGAGTTCTGTAGATGTCTAGTAGGTCTGCTTGTTGTAGAGCTGAGTTCAGGTCCTGGATATTCCTGTTAATCTTCTGTCTTGTTGATCTGTCTAATATTGACAGTGGGGTATTAAAGTGTCCCATTATTATTGTGTGGGAGTCTAAGTCTCTTTGTAGGTCTCTAAGGACTTGCTTTATGAACCTGGGTGCTCCTGTATTGGGTGCATATATATTTAGGATAGTTAGCTCTTCTTGTTGAATTGATCCCTTTCCCATTACGTAATGTCCTTCTTTTTCTCTTTTGTTCTTTGTTGGTTTAAAATCTGTTTTGTTAAGAGACTAGGATTGCAACCCCTGCTTTTTTTTGCTTTCCATTCACTTGGCAGATCTTCCTCCATCCCTTTATTTTCGGCCTATGTGCATCTTTGCATGTGAGATGGGTCTCCTGATTACAACACACTGATGGGTCTTGACTCTTTATCCAGTTTGCCAGTCTCTGTCTTTTAATTGGGGCATTTAGCCCATTTACCTTTAACGTTAATATTGCTATGTGTGAATTTGATCCTGTCGTTATGATGTTCGCTGGTTATTTTGCCTGCTAATTGATGCAGTTTCTTCATAGCATCGATGGTCTTTACAATTTGGCCTATTTTTGCAGTGGCTGGTACCAGTTGTTTCTTTCCATGTTTAGTGCTTCCTTCAGGAGCTCTTGTAAGGCAGGCCGGGTGGTTTCGAAATCTCTCAGCATTTGCTTGTCTGTAAAGGATTTTATTTCTCCTTCACTTATGAGCTTAGTTTGGCTGGATATGAAATTCTGGGTTGAAAATTATTTTCTTTAAAATGTTGACTATTGGCCCCCACTCTCTTCTGGCTTGTAGGGTTTCTGCAGAGAGATCCTCTGTTAGTCTGATGGGCTTCCCTTTGTGGGTAGCCCAATCTTTCTCTCTGGCTGCCCTTAACATTTTTTCCTTCATTTCAGCCTTGGTGAATCTGATGATTATGTGTCTTGGGGTTGCTCTTCTCGAGGAGTATCTTTGTGGTGTTCTCTGTATTTCCCGAATTTGAATGTTGGCCTGCCTTGCTAGGTTAGGGAAGTTCTCCTGGATAATATCCTGAAGAGTGTTTTCTACTTGGTTCCATTCTCTCCATCACTTTCAGGTACACCAAACAAACATAGATTTGTTCTTTTCATATAGTCCCATATTTCTTGGAGGCTTTGTTCATTTCTTTTTACTCTTTTTTCTCCAACCTTGTCTTCTCACTTTATTTCATTAATTCGATCTTCAATCACTGATACCCTTTCTTCCACTTGATCAAATTGGCTATTGAAGCATGTGCATGCGTCACGAAGTTCTCGTGCCATGGTTTTCAGCTCCATCAGATCATTTAAGGTTTTCTCTACACTGTTTCTTCGAGTTAACCATTTGTCTAAATTTTTTCAAGGTTTTTAGCTTCCTTGCAATGGGTTTGAACATCCTCCTTTAGCTTGGAGAAGTTTGTTATTACCGACCTTCTGAAGCCTACTTCTGTCAACTCATTAAAGTCATTCTCCGTCCAGCTTTGTTCTGTTGCTGGCGAGGAGCTGCGATCCTTTGGAAGAGAAGAGGTGCTCTGATTTTTAGAATGTTCAGCTTTTCTGCTCTGGTTTCTCACCATCTTTGTGATTTTATCTACCTTTGATCTTTGATGTTGGTGACCTACAGATGGGGTTTTGGTGTAGATGACCTTTTTGTTGATGTTGATGCTATTCCTTTCTGTTTGTTAGTTTTCCTTCTAACAGTCAGGTCCCTCAGCTGCAGGTCTGTTGGAGCTTGCTGGAGTTCCAATCCAGACCCTGTTTGCCTGGGTATCACCGGCGGAGGCTGCAGAGCAGCAAATATTGCAGAACAGCAAATATTGCTGCCTGATCCTTTCTCTGGAAGCTTCATCCCAGAGGGGCAGTTGCCTATATGAGGTGTCTGTCGGCCCCTACTGGGAGGTTTCTCCCAGTCAGGCTACACGGAGGTCAGGGACCCACTTGAGGAGGCAGTCTGTCCGTTCTCAGAGCTCAAATGTCAGACAGGGATGTTTAAGTCTTCAGAAGTTTTCTGCTGCCTTTTTTTCAGCTATGCCCTGCCCACAGAGGTGGAGCCTAGAGGCAGTAGGCCTTGTGAGCTGTGGTGGGCTCCGCCCAGTTCAAGCTTCCCAGTCACTTTGTTTACGTACTCAAGCCTCAGCAATGGTGGACTCCCCTTCCCCAGCCAGGCTGCCACCTGGCAGATCAATCTCAGACTGCTGCGCTAGCAGTGAGCAAGGCTCCTTGGGCGTGGGACTCACCAAGCCAGGCACAAGAGAGAATCTCCTTGTCTGCCAGTTGCTAAGACTTTGGGAAAAGCGTAGTATTTGAGTGGGAGTGCCCCATTTTTCCAGGTAGTCTGTCACTCAGCTTCCCTTGGCTAGGAAAGGGAAATCCCCCAACCCTTTGCACTTCCCAGGTGAGGCAACACCCTGCCCTGCTTCAGCTTGCCCTCCATGAGCTGCACCCACTGTCCAACAAATCCCAATGAGATGAACCAGGTAGCTCAGTTGGAAATGCAGAAATCGCCCGTCTTCTGCGTCAATCACGCTGGGAGCTGCAGACTGGAGCTGTTCCTACTCGGCCATCTTGGAATGCCCCCAAAAGTTTCTTAAAAAGTTATACATACACCAACCATATGACCCAGCAAAACCCCTCCTAGGTACAAAATAAATGAAAACATGTTCAAACAGAAATGTGAATGAAAATGTTTATAGTGGCTTTAGTCATAATCTCCAAAACTGGAAAAAATTCATATACATGTCATTTAACTCGTGAGTGGGTAAACAAACTGATGGGGCTTGGGATGCACCACTGTAAAATATGACTGTAGGAGACCAGAATAGGCCACCCCAAAATATGACTATTTTGCATACTGATTACTTTGAGCTGGTTATTTTGAGAAACTGCAGACACAGAATTAGCTCTGAAAAGTTGCCCTTTTGTCAAAGAAATTTGCATCTATAAAGAAAACCTCCATTGGTAAGGGTGTCTCCCTCTCTGCACCAGGAAGACAATGATAGTCATAGGCAATGTATCACTAAACAAATTACTAGTTACTTATAGTAATTAGTAATTACTATACAATGGAGAAGGCATAGACTTTAATCTGCATAACAAACCTTACTTTTATTTTATGGTGCTTTTCTTGGCCATCTCTTCTTAACCAGGCATTTCCCCACACTCTTCTTTCTTTGTTTCAGAGAGCAGAGGTATTTAAGCCTGAAGTCTAAAACTTTTTTGACATCTACTCTAGAAATTTACTAATTTCTCTAGATTTTCTCTTACATATGTATAAAATATCCATGCAAATAAACTTGTTTTTCTCTTGTTAATCTGACTTTATTAAAGGAAGGTCCAGTTAAGAATTATGAAGGGGTAGAGAGAAAATTATTATCCATTTAGCCATTCTCTATTTTGATTGAAGAATTTAGTCCATTTACATTTAAAGTAATTATTGTTAGGTAAGGGCTTACTATTGTCATTTTGTTCATTGTTTTCTGAGTGTTTTGTAGTGCATTTGTTCCTTTCTTCCTTTCTTGCTGACTTCCTCTGTGATTTGATGATTTTATACAGTGGCTTTCATTCCTTTCTCTTTCTCTTTTGTGTATCTACCATAGGTTTATGTTTGTAGTTACCATGGGGGCTTACATAGGACATCTTATAGTTGAAACAGTATATTTTTAGATGATAACAACTTAATTTAGATCACGTAGAAAAACTCTACACTTCTACTCCCCCTAAACATTTTATGTTTTTGGTGTCACGATTTACATATTTTTATATTGTATATCCATTAATAAAGTGTTATAGCTATTATCATTTTTAATTTTTTCTTTGAACCTTTACACTAGAGTTAAAACTGATTTATATGCCATCACTATAGTAACATTAACAATAGTTATTATTGGGTGTTCAGATTATACATCATATTTCTGTATCTCTATTTGCTAATTATCCTACAATGGACATATGGAATAAGAACAAAGTTATAAACTCCTTTTTATCAATATCACCAGTTTTGATGTATAAATAAAAGTCTTAGGGCAAGAAGGTATCTTAGATCATCTTATCCAACAGATTTAACAGATGACTAAAACAAAGCCAATGCATTTAGATGACTTCTCCAAGGTACACAGAGAAGCAATTAGAATAATTAAAGGGAATACAAACGTATTATAAAAATACTTTTACATAACAAGGACTAGAAAGAATCAATAAATAAAATAAAAAGATATTAATTTTTAAATTACGTTCATTTTATTTCCAGGCTGATAATAGAGATAAATTTGTAGAAAAGATGTTATCTAGCCATGAGTATACCTTCTGCTTCTTGTCTTCCTCTTCCCACAGTGGTAAATTAGATGGACACGAAGCCGTGCCTACGCATTACAACTTAGCAAAAAATTATCAGAACAAGAAATCCACATATATTCTGTAGTTGTCTCTACTTGAGAAAGGGAATTTCCATTCTTTTGCAAATGTTAAAATGATGCTAAAACAATTTTGAAAGCATTTTTTAAAACCTTAATCCATTGCATTCTAATAATTGAGTGTGCATTGAGAAGTAATTTTTAAATGATTTATACTTATCATCCTTAAGTCCCACACAGATGAAGTAAGGAAAATCAAAATCAAACAAGTGTGACTACTTGTATCACAGCATTTACACCAGTCGATGAAAGAGATTTCTTGACCCAAAGAACATTAGAGTTGTTAGGAAATCTAAAAGATCCACTCATCAATCTCCTATATATTGCTTCATTAAAAAATTTCCAAAGGAAATTAAGTGCTTTGTCCTAAGTCTGGTATCACGTTAGGGCCACTCAACAGAAAGCTCCTGATACCCATCTAGGGCTCCTTCTAGTGCACCATGGAAGAGGAAGAAGCCACAAGATAGAATGGAAAAACAGGTTTTGCTGTAGAGGGCCAAATAGCACTCTCTACCTTTGTATGTACTGGTTGAAAACCATGGTTATTTTTATCAGTGTTAACGTTACCCAACTTGGCTTGTAAAAAATCACAGCAGATGATGTTTCTTTTTGGTACAGAGGAGAGGTATGTCTCAGTGTAGGTTTGATAAATTATTTTTTACTACCAACTAAATACTGTTTTACTTTTGATACATTCTAGATATACTAGTATTGATAAATGATACTGCTGTGCTTGGAGCCACTCTCTAGCAATATTTGCAGTCAACAACCTGGTTCATATACTAAGTGGAATGGGAGTGGGAAAAGGAGAGACATACTACTAATTCAAACTCCCAAGTGTATCAAGAATCTACTGGAATTTATTAGGGTCAAGAAGTTGCCTGAAAGATCCATTTAAGGTTATTCTGAAGATAGATGGATACCCATCTATCTTCATAGATACCCATGCCTTAGAGATTATTCTTGAACTGGATCAGCATAATTCAGTGCCATCTCAAGATATGCAGCATAATTTTTTAATAAAAATAAATTTCTGATGCAGAAGTAATTGGTTCCAACTGCCTTTTAACAAGAAAGGTATTTAGGAAAGTATTTAGAAAGAAGAAAATAAAAATAAACTATAATCTCACCACACCAAGACAACAATGGCTAAAATTTTAGTATATTTCCTTCCAGAATTTTTTCTGTGTGTGTGCAGGTATACATTTGTGTGTGAATTTGCAAACATTTACTTAAATACAAAATTAGTACATAATCTTATTTTGTAATTACCTTTTTTCATGTCAGCAAACACAGATTTTCATCATTTTTAATGTTGAAAAAACCTCTGTAGATGGCTATTTAATCTGATAACAAATTTTTATAAATCAAAAAATTACCTAATAACTGATTTACATTATTAGTTGCTTGATAACTATTTTCTTTACATAAATATCTGAAAGCGAAATAACTAAATAAAAGTATATGTGCCTTTTAAAATTGTTGTTTATATGAAAAACTACCCTCTAGAAAGATTGTGCCAACCTATGCTATCTTTGGCAACAGAAGAAACTGTCAGCTTCCCTACTCTCTTGTCAAGATTAATTATTATTTTTTTTTAGAGATGGGGTCTCACTATATTGCCCAGGCTGAAGTGCAATGGCTATTCCCAGACGTGATTATAGCTCACTGCAGCCTTGAAATCCCAGGCTCAAGTGATCTTACCACCTTAACCTCCTGCATAGCTGAAACTGCAGGAATGCACCACCATGCCTGGTTTAGATATTATTTTTTAAAACAAATATTTTTCATTCTGAAAGTGAGAAATTGGTATGGTTTTTATTTGTGTTTTTAATTATTAGTGAGATTGAATATTTATTATATATTTATTGGTTACTGGGGTTTTTTTTTCCTTTGAAACTTGACTTTGTCCAATTTTCTATATGGGCATTGTTATTGTATGTATAAGAATTTTTCTTCACAATAAGATATACACAGGAATTCTGATAGGCACCAGAATAATGGCAGTGCTTAAATGTAAATTCGTGCATCCCTCCTCCCAAAAATCACAAGATCAAAAAGAACAAATAAACCATACATGACCCAGGAGACAGAATACTCCAAACTTAAAATTACTTAAAAGTAGAGGAGAAAATACTATATTCCAACAGAGGTATTATTAGATTTCCTGCTGCCACTACAAGATGATTGATGTAAGGAATAGTGGGAGGGCAGTCCTAAGATACTCCATGGAAAAGAGAAAAGATAAGTAGAGATCATAGACAAGTCACAGGCAAAATCACTCCCCAAAAGAGAAGGTCCAATGCTGTATTAGTCTGTGCTCATACTGCTATGAAGAAATACCCAAGACTGGGTAATTTAGAAAGAAAACAGGTTTAATTTACTCACATTTCCGCATGGCTGGGGAGGCCTCAGGAAACTTACAATCATTGCGGAAGAGGAAGCAAACACATACTTCTTCACATAACAGCAGGAGAGAGAAGTGCAGAGCAAAGGGAGGAAAAGCCCCTTGTAAAACCATCAGATCTCATGAGAACTCACTCACTATCATAAGAACAGCATGAGAGAACTGCCCCCATGATCTAATCACCTCCCACGAGGTCCCTCCCCCAACACGTGGGGATTACAATTCAGATTACAATTCAAGATGAGATTTGGGTGTGGACACAGAGCCAGACCATATCATTCTGCCCTTAGACCCTTCTAAATCTTGTCTTTCTGACATTTCAAAACACAATTATGCCTTCTCAACAGTTCCGCAAAGCCTTAACTCATTTGTCCATAGCCTCATCTGAGAAAAGTCAAGTCCCTTCCACCTATGATCCTGTAAAATCAAAAGCAGATTAATTATTTCCTATTAATAGATACAATGGGGGTACAGGCATTGGGTAAATACACCGATTCCAAATGGGAGAAATTGGCCAAAACAAAGGGACTCCAGGCCCCATGCAAGACTAAAATCCAATGAGGTAGTAATTAAGTCTTAAAGCGCTGAAATAATTTCCTTTGACTCCATGTCTCACATCCAGATCATGCTGATGCAAGAGGTAGGCTCCCACAGCCTTCAGCAGCTCCAGCCCTGTGGCTTTGCAGGATACAGCTCCCCTCCCAGATGCTTTCATGGCTTGCTGTTGAGTGTCTGCAGCTTTTCCAGGTGCATGGTGCAAGCTGTTTGTGGATCTACCATTCTGGGGTCTGGAGGATAGTGGCCCTCTTCTGACAGCTCCAGTAGGCAAAGCCCCAGTGTGGACTCTTGTGTGGAGGCTCGAATCCCATATTTCCCTTCCACATTGCCCTAGCAGAGGTTCTCCATGAGGGTGCCACCACTGCAGCAAACTTCTGCTTGGACATCCAGGCATTTCCATACATCATGTGAAATCCAGGTGGAGGTTCCCAAACCTCAATCCTTACCTTCTAAACACCTGCAGGACCAATACCATGTGGAAGCTGCCAAGGCTTGGGGCTTGCACCCTCTGAAGCCACAGCCTGATCTGTAGCTTGGCTCCTTTTAGCCACAGCTGGAACAGCTGGGATGCAGGGCACCAAGTTCTAAGGCTGCACTCAGCAGGGGGGCCCTGGACCTGGCCCATGAAACCATTTTTCCCTCCTAGGCCTCCAGGCCTGTGATGAGAGGGGCTGTCACGACATGCCCTGGAGACATTTTCCCCATTGCCTTGGTGATTAACATTTGGCTTCTCATTACTTATGCAAACGTCTGCAGCTAGCTTGAATTTCTCCCCCGAAAATGGGTTTTTCTTTTCTATCACATCATCGGGTTGCAAATTTTCCAAGCTTATACACTCTGCTTCCTCTTGAACACTTTGTTGCTTAGAAATTTTTTCCACCAGATACCCTAAATTGTCTCTCTCAAGCTCAAAGTCCTACACATCTCTAAGGCAGGGGCAAAATGCTGCCAGTCTCTTTGCTAAAGCATAGCAAGAATCACCTTTATTCTAGTTCCCAAGAAGTTTCTCATCTCCATCTGAGACCACCTCAGCCTGGACTTCAGTGTCCATATCACTATCAGCATTTTGGTCAAAGCCACTCAACAAGTCTGTAGGAAGTTCCAAACTTTCCACATCTTCCTGTCTTCTGAGCTCTCCAAGTCTCTAGGAAGTTCCAAACTTTCCCACATTTTCCTGTCTTCTTCTGAGCCCTCCAAACTGTTCCAATCTCTGCCTGTTACCCAGTTCCAAAGTTGCTTCCACATTTTTGGATATCTTTATAGCAGCACCCCACTCTCTACAGTACCAATTTACTGTGTCAGTCCATTCTCATGCTGCTATGAAGAAATACCCCAAACTGGGTAATTTATAAAGGAAAGAGGTTAATTGACTGACAGTTCTGCATGGCTGGGGAAGCCTCAGGAAACTTACAATCATGGCAGAAGGGGAAGCAAACACATCCTTCTTCACATGGTGGCAGGAGAGAGAAGTGCAGAGCAAAGTGGGGGAAAGCCCCTTATAAAACCATCGGATCTCATGAGAACTCACTCACTATCGTGAGAAGAACATGGGGGATCCACCCTTATGATCTAACCCCCTCCCCCAACGTGTGGGGATATCAATTCAGATTACAATTCAAGATGAGGTTTGGGTGGGGATACAGAACCAAACCCTATCAAATACTAAGAACTAAAATGATAAAGACAAGTCTGAAACTTTGTAGATCACAGCACTACTTACAGGGGACTTGGCAAAACTGGACATGGCAGTCTTGAAGACAAAAAAATGTTTGGAAGATTACAAAGATAAATCGAGAGAGGGAAGCATCATTCTGAGATGTGGAGGTGAAAGAAAAGAAGTAAGAGAGGAAAAGTAGTGATTCTGCACAAATAAAAGAGAATCAGAAGACATGCCAACAGCTCCACTTCCCAACCACCACAAAGATGCCATTCATTTAAAAACTGCATTTTACTATACTGACAGAAGAGAATAATTTCAAACCAGGAACCTCTATAAAATACCTAAAATTAGTAGAAATCAGAACTCCGCTATTCAAAGCTACTAAAATTTTTTTAAATGCAAATAAACATATTTCACCTGATAAAAATATTCCCAAAAAACTCCAAATCTGAAGAAAATTGTAACACGACACTCCAAATAAAACTACATACCCTCAAACATTTATTTGGAGTATTAAAAAACACGTAACATTAGAAATTCAAAAACTGTGAATAGAAATTGTACAAAAAGAGGAAGAAAGAGACAAGATTTAATTTAATGCAAGAAAAAAGTTGAAGAAAATAAAAAGAAAAACCTCATCAGAAATGGAGAATAAATTACAAGCTGCCCAAAGTAAAGTAGATTCAAATGCAGAAAGGCAGGAAAATAAGAAAGATAATAAAAATGAGACAATAAAGAAGTAAAAATGGGTCAGAGAGAAAGTGGTTGAAATAGAAGACTGGCAAGTAAGAGCCAGGAAAATTGGAGTCCCTGAAGAAGAAAAACAATACTTTATGAAAAGAAGAGAAAATATAAGCAGACATAAAAAAGCCCCTTGTGGGCCTGGGAAAATTGATTCAGAATGGTTAACTCTGAGAATGCCTGTCTTTATTTTAAAGGAGAGTAAACACAATTAACATGACTCAACAACTACAAGAAAAATGCTTGAACACATGTGCCAGGAGATAAGAGTGTTCACAGCAACATAGTCTCAAATGGTAGAATGTTCAGCAATAGAAGAGATAAATATATTGTTGCATATTCAGACAATGGACTACTATACAGTAGTGAAAAATGAATGAGCCATAGCTACCCACATCAACATAAATAAATCTCAAATCAATGTCAAGCAGAATAAGCAAGTCTCAGAGGAATATATTCAGTATTATCTTGCATATTTAAAAGTCATAAATAGGCAAAATTAAATGATATACTGCTTAGGGATGATAAATAGGCAATAAAACTCTGAAGAGAAGCAAAAGAATGACTAACACAAAGTTGAGAACCATGGTTACCTCTTGGTGGAGAGAGTGGAAGATGTTTTTTGTGAGGGGCACATAATATGTGTCTAATTACTGGTAATATTTTATGTCTTAAGCTAGGTGTTGGATATACCACTGTTTAAATTGTACATATACTTTAAACAGTTGTATTTATGATATATTTCACCATTAAAAATCCACAGTAAAGTATTGTAGTGGAAACTTCATTTTGTGCTACCTTCTTCTGGGATGCTAGGCAAATAAAATTTGAACATTTAAACTAGTATCTCTTGGAAATCAAAAACAAAGCAGGCAGACTCCATGCCTCAGATTTCTGAAGCTGGGTGAGTGATTCTGAGTGTGCTATCTGCTTTGGTTGTTTAAATGACAGATCTTCTCTATCTGCCACAAGAAATTCATTTATGAAGCCAGAAGGCCCAAGCTACATTAGACTAATAAGGTGTCTGTGTGTCTCATCTTCTCTTTCCTTGACTTTTTGTTGCAATTTCACAACTCCTGGGAGGACAGCTTTCCACTGGCACCTGTGTGTACCAGCATAAGTATCTAATATATTTTAGTGGAGGATTAATTTATATCATACTCTAAACCAGCTGGGCCAACTGTCTGATTTACAGATCTGTGAGCAGGCTGCTAAATAACTCCACCAAGCTTGGAAGAGTGTGTGTGTGTGAGTGAGTGGGTGTTTCCTATCAATAGACAATAGACAAGTTATAGACAGTGATGAAATAGGAAGATAAATATGTAAGCAAATGAGAAAGAATATTTTGATGGGATTTTTAATGTGCATTCTCATATGAACTCTAAGTATAAACAACCTAACCCAAATTCTTTCACCTCAGCTATTCTTAACATTTATTTAACTCATGTAAATTATATCTTTACGTTTTAAATGTATATTTCTTCAGACTGGTTCTTTTAATAGCAGTCACCTCCTTATATAATTATGTATCTGTGCCATAAAATTCCTGTAGTCAGAGACTATGTTGTTGTATCTACAATGGCTTTCCCTCACAAACACACCTTACAGGCTTCCCCTCCCCTAGAGCAAATTGGGTCTCATTTCCTAGCCTGTCAAACCACAGTACCTCTGAGTTCTAACTCTTCTGTAGGAAGTAGATATCTGCTGATTGTACCTATTGCACTCCCTTCCCCCTTTGCCACCAGAATCTATTTTTGTTATGGGGAACTGATTTCTCCTGGTCCCGGTGGAGCTGGCCCATCCTTATTGACCACAGGACCAGGCACATGATCCAGCCCTGGCCAATCAGACTCTTCCATGACCTGGCTACAGCGATGGGCTCAGCCATAGGAAATAATCATTGCATACCAAGCTGATCATATTCCTCCCTGAGACTGATCTGCAAAACCTATCAAAAAGACTTTCTTCTCACCCTAGAGTTTCTACATAGATACAATATGAGTCTGCCTTCGAGTAGTCCTCTTGTTCATCACCTGACAATCAAGTGACCAAGAGATACAAAGCAAGATTGGCCCTAACAGTGTCATAGGAGCCCTTAGATCCAGCAGGCCTGAGGCAGGCCTCTACCCCATGCCTATTCCACCATAGGAGTCAAAAAATCATTCCTTTTATTTCTAAGGGATCTAAATTTTATTTGTTTCTACATAAAAAACTACTATAGCACAGTGATGCTAAAGGCCATTAGCACCACTGATGCAGTGTGGCATAGTGGAAGGTTTGTGGAATGCAAGATACTGGCTTCAGAGGGACAAGAACAATGGTGTTTTGCTGCAGAGAAAATGAAATCTGCAGCAATCTGGGTGCCCAGACACTGATGTGGGTGTGCAACAGACCTATATTGAATGAGGCAAGGACAGCCAGATTTAAAATCATACTTCTCAGTCTCTTCCATTTAAGAATTCTTTCAATATTTGCACACATAATATCTTCACTGCCAAATCAATAAAATGTCATTTTGATAGGGACCTGTGTTGAGAATTTTCTGTTTCTCATGTAGCGTTCTTTGAACTGGTCAGTGGCTCCACCCTGGAAATAAGAAACCCAAATAGAGAATATGGGCCCTTCTGCTCTCCTCCATGTTTTCTGAAGAGAATAGAAAACAGCTTCACCTAAGGAATGAAAACTTAAAATGCCTCAGAAACAAGAGCTCACTGAGATGCAAAGAGAGAGGATGGAAAGATATTAGGTTTGGCCGTGACTTTCAATTAATGTAATCCAGATGTCGGTCTGCAATCTAGATACAATTATCTTGAAACTCCTATTCCACTATTTGAAGAAACATCAAGATTTCTGTGAATTTCTGGGTTTCTTATGTTCTCACAGTCACCTGCAGAACTCCTTCTGGTTTTGGATCATCTTCTCATCTTCCAATCCAGAAAGGGAAATCAGCTACCTTTCATTATTTCTATACCAAAGAAGCAAAAGCAGAAATGCTCACAAAAAGTTTTGTGTGGGTGTGTTTCAGTCCATAAACATAAAATGTACATCACTGTTCTTCAAAGTCCTGCATCACTCCACAGAGCTGCTTACCCTTCCCCCACCTCTCATCCCATCTCCTCAACCCACAGCCCTATTCAGTTCAAGAACACAGCCAGCCATCTATCTCCCTGCTTGCCCTTTATACAGCTAACCCACACTTCTCAGTATTTACCCCTGAGAGTTTAGCAAATGTTCTCCTACACAAAGCAACCAAGAATAATTTTGGCTTTGGGTGTTAAGATAATAAGGTTATCACCATGATACATTAAGAACCAAACAGAATGGAAGTGTACCCAGAGGAGTGCATTTTCTCTGTGTCCCTGAGCAATGATAGATTTGCAGGAGAGGCTAAGGGCTCATGGGATGGGCTAGACCATCTGCTCTGAGGACTTAAATCTATAGAGTGTGCATCAGAGAGGGTCCAAAAAAAAACAGTCCCCAGGCAATGGTCCCTGGAGCAGAGGATGGTGCTAGACACCCCTGACACTCAAAGACAGAAAGAGAGCCTGCCCTCTGCTGGGGGCTAAGAGTGGTGTCTAAGTTTCCAAGACTGTGAAACTGTCTTCCTGTGCAATTTGCAGGTCTAGGCTTGTTGATCCTGTTTTCTACTCATTGAATCTTTTCCTAAAACATCATAGGAGCTGATGACGGCAGGGAAGGAGGAGGGATAGCTTAAGCTTAACCTGTGCTTAGACATGCTTTTAAAAAGGTATTATTGGACATGCTTTTTAAACACATTAGCTACAGTGGATCTCATGTTCCCCATATGCCAATGATGGGAAAAGAAAAAAAATCGTATATGCCAATGAAAGTTATCTCAGCCCCTTCTTGGTCTCATTCTGTCTTAAGTGGGTTAAATATTCAGGCAATTCAAAGTTTGAAATCTGGAGCAGGGCTGATTATTTCTTCTTGGGATGTCTTCCTTTATCCTTTTTCTCTCAAGATGGTGTCTGTGAAGGAGAAGTTGCATGGCTGTGTAGAGAATTGGAAGGAAGGACCTCAAGGGCTGTGGATCTTCTCCATGAAATTGAGTGGCTTATCCTGTGACTAGAGGTACAGTTGGTCCCTAATGGTTCTTGAGGCATAACTATGACACCCTTTACTGAAGCCCTTGGTCCCTGTCTCAGACTCTAAGTGGAAATCTCTGCCATTTACAATCTCCTAATCCTGGCTCTTTGGTTCTCAAGACTTTTGTGTCTCACCAAGGCAGGCAAGAACATGGAGGTCCCTTTCATGTCATTTCCATACTGTAAGACACAGAAAACTAAGGGGCCCTGTCTCATCAAGTTTCTTTATAAAAACCCCCAAGCAGCCATTTTTCTAGCTGCAGATGGCTGTACTAAGTTGAAAGTCTCAGCAAGACCATCTTCTCACTGAGTTCCAATAAGGAAGAAACAAAATTCTTCAGTGTCAGCCCTATCCTCAGTTTATCTGGAGTTTTTGCCTCTTTTTGCCACACTTCCCTTCCCACACCCAACCCTGGCTGAGGCACAGAGGAATGTAGTAGCGGGTCCAAGACAATTCGCTCCTGGAAACTGATAATTCATTCATCTGACATCTTTTATTGAAAATCTACCATGTGCCAGGTACGCTTCTAGGCTCTGAGGATACAATAGCAAACAAAACAATTTCAGTACCCTGGAGTTTACATTCTCTTCATGGTGGAAAGTGAAGAGCCGATATATACAAAATACAGGCCATGGTCTGTTTAACGTAAGTACTAACAAGAAAAAATAAAGCAGAAAGGTGTATAGAATGTGATAGAGGTAGACTTCAGCCAGTAGATCACATATAATTAAACTGGAGATGACTCAGCTATTCTCCAGCTAATATTTATACTATAAAGGTAACTATAGACTATAGATGCCTCAGAGAGAGAGAGAGAGAGAAAAAGAGAGAGAGAGGGAGAGAGTGTTTGATGTTGTGGGGGAGGGTGGGAAGGATGACAGGGTGAGAGATCCAAACACTGGATACCTAAGAAACTCTCCCTTCTAGAGAAGAAAAATGTTGAAGGGGTGGCTCCCAGATTTTGCAGCAGCTACAGTTAGTACACATCTCATGAAAAGAAAAGGGGAGAGGGGAGAGAAGTATGCCTCTGAAGTTACCAACCCAATCGGTCATCTGTTTATAGAAGGCAAAGAAGGAGCACAGCTGTTGGAGACAGCGACTCCAGTTCTCCTGGGCCAGCTGTGGAGCCATTCGACAGGCAGTGTTCTGGGTGTGTGGGACCGGCATCTTCAAGCAACCCACATCCCAGCAGATGTGCCTTGAGAAAACAAATTCCTCCCAATCCTGATTCAAACCACTGCCAGGCTGGTCACCAGCTGGAGGGCTTAATCACTGGAGGCAGGCATTGCTAGAGAACCAGGAAATGTTTAAAAACCAGAAATGATCTCAGAAACCATCCAGTCCAAATACCTCAGTTCAAATACATCTCTCTAGGAACACACAGGAGAGATAAGGGAGGAAGGTGGTCTTGGGAAGGATTGAAAAAAGAGGAGGTGTTAGTACTCAGTCTTTCTTTAAAAAAAAAAATTATTTCAATAGCTTTTGTGGTACAAGTGGTTTTCTGTTACATGAATAAATTGTATAGTGGTGAAGTCTGAGATTTTAGTGCACACATCACCCAAGTAGTGTACATTATACCTAGTATGTAGATTTTTATCACTCACCCCCACCCACCCCTGCCTTCTGAGTCTCCAATGTCCATTACACCATTCTGCATGCCTTTGTGTATTGATAGCTTAGCTCCTATTAATAAGTGAGAACATACAGTATTTTGTTTTCCATTCCTGACTTACTTACTGAGAAAAATGGCCTCCAGCTCCATCCAAGTTGCTGCAAAATACATTAGTTAATTCTTTTTTATGGCTGAGTAGTATTCCATGGTGTATATGTACCACATTTTCTTTGTTCGCTCATCTGTTGATGGGCACTTTGGTTGGTTCCATATTTTTGCAATTGTGAGTTGTGCTGCAATAAACATTTTTTTTTTTTTTATGTAATGACTCCTTTTACTTTGGGTAGATACTCAGTAGTGGGATTGCTGTGTCAAGTAGTAGATCTACTTTTAGCTCTTTAAGAAATCTCTATACTGTTTTCCGTAGAGGTTGTACTAATTTATATTCCCACCAAGCATTCAGTATTGAAGGATGAACAGCAGTTTGCCAGACAAACGAGGAGGTGATAGGCAGGAGGAAACATTATCACAATAAACGCACCAAAACGTCATCTCCCTGGATTTGCCCTGGCCAGCCTACCAGACCCCTGAGTCCGTCAACCTATCCTGGGGATGCCAGGGGAAGGCTCATGGTTCCTGCATGCCAGTCTTTTAGCTCTGCAGTGGTCATCCCTGCTATGCTGCATAAACAGGACAACACACATAAAAAGAAAATGACAACATTTATCAACAATGTCAGATGACATAACGAGAATGGTCATTCCATGACTCAACTCCAAGTGAGCAGTGAAAACTTCAGAGAAAAAAGAAGTTATGTGGTTTCTCCAACCTCCTTTGCTCCAGCCTTGGTAAAGGGGCCCTCCATTCTCTGCCCCTGTAAACCAGCTCACCAGGGAGGGAATAGATACAAGTGTCTTCACCACTTCTTAGCCCTTCTTGACAGCCAGGAATGATCTTTATCAACACAGGTGCAACTTTTCAATGGCTGCAGAATTTTCCAGTGTGAGGCTTTTAAAGGGATGGAGGAAACACCAAAAATAAGTAAATGCCTAAAGACATAGAGCTATAAACCAAAAAATAATGGATTTCAGTAACAACCCTGGACAAACTGAGTGACCATAAGCAATTCCTCCTCCCTCTCTGATGCTTGGTGTGCACATCTGTAAAATGAGGAGGTTAGTAGATTACCTCCCAGGCCCCACCAGGTCCAACACTGAGTGGGTTCATGTTTGCGCTACAAAAACACTAAAAGTACCAACATCTTTTGTGGCCACAAACTCCTGAACTTTGGATTTAATTGCCATTTAATTCTTATTATTTTGTGTGATGCCACACCCCTGGAATGTCACACAGTAAGCATCTGAAATGATTGGTCCTACTTATTCCTGTTTATCAACCCTTAGGACAAACAAATCCCATAGCAACAACACAGGCATTCAAAATAGTTTTGACCTTTTGTCAGAAAATATTCTAATTATAAGCACACAATGTAAGTATAATGCTCTTACCATATTACCCTCAATTGAAGCACCTATCATAATTCAAACTAGTAAGATACTTTAAAATAGATATTTAGGTTCGGATCTGACTCAAAATGACTGTCTCTCGTGGTTTACATTGACTACAAAGGGAGTTAACTGGTAAGATGTACGTGTTTTGGGGTGCCCTCTATGTGCTTTTACAATTTTTTTTTCTCTTTGATGATTTAAACCACATGTCAAGATATTTAAAGGATTATTTTATCAGGAATTCTCCAGTGTGAAATAAATACCAGGGAAGAGCTCACAGGTTTATGCAAGATGTATATACACACACACACGTGTACAGACAAACACACAGACTCACAGTCGGGTGTAAATCATCCCTTGTCCTCCAGCAGCTGGTCTGCCATATTGATAAATAGGATGTACTGCATTAATTTAATTCTGAATTGCTGAAACATAGTTTGGGTGCAAATATAAATTTGGCAGAAAAATGGAGTGTGTTAAGCCTTTAACAAATGAGTGTTTAATGACTATTTGTGAAAAAAAAATCAGTAATGGGAAACAAAAACTTACAAGATTTGGCAAAGTTATCCTCTAAGTTTGCAAAGCCTGAGAAATATTTAAGGGAGGCAATGTCATATCATACTTCAAATAATGCCCTTGAAAAGCATTTCTGTGACAGACTCTGCCAACATACTAATGGAGTTCTTGCAACTGAATGAGTTCCGCACAGTGACTCTAAGAGCTGCAAAACATACGCACTAGGTGATGCTTCATTAACAACTGTTACATATTTTAACTCAAGAGTCTGAGGTGGCAGTTGCTTTTTATCTTTTGCCCATTCTGATCATCAAATATGAAGGTCAAGAGTGCTGTCTTGAGAAGGGTTCTGAGGTTGCATCTGAGATCAGAGTCCTAGTTGATTGTTGATGTCTGCTGTGGGGGAGGGAGGCAGGAGTGGGGGAGGGAGGCAGGAGTAGGGGAGGGAGGCAGGAGTAGGGGAGGGAGGCAGGAGTGGGGGAGGGAGGCAGGAGTGGTGACATGTGCACATTTCACACATCCCACAGGTGTCCATAGTCTGAACCACTATGCACAGTGCTGTAAGCAGTCTTCTTTACACACAGTTCCTATCACAGTAGCTCCAGATAGCACTGTATATCAATTATGGCATTATTTTAAGTCTTGTATCAATTGATTACATTTTCTAACTGCCTCACCTCTTCCCTTTCTCACTTTCCTACTTAGGTCCTCAATTTCTTTTCTATTGCTCCCTCTGTGTAGGTTATTAGATCTCCTCATTGTTCTTCTATAGTCCTCAACCATTCCCACCTGCCCACCTCTACTCATGCTATCACTTCTTTGCTGGCCTGGATGGTGGTCTGAGCCAGTCTCCTCCTCAGAGACTCAAATAGAACATCCAAAAGTCTTTTGTAGCAGGCAAGTTTCTGATGCCTAATCTTAGCCCCATTTCTTCAGCTTTATGCTATATATTCTGTGCTGAATTATCACATTCTTATTTTTATGTTGATTTATAGCCATTCTATGATTGTTTCAAGAGAGTTTTTTTTTCCTCTTTTCTGTGAAAGTGGATGTACCATAAAGATAAGTACCACATCTTTTAATTTATTGCATCTTAACTAAATAAATTACTGACCAGGCACAGTGGCTCACACCTATAATCCCACTTTAGGAGGCCAAGGCAGGAGGATCACTTGAGGCCAGGAGTTTGAGACCAGCCTGGGCAACACAGCAAGACCCCCATCTCTACAAAACATAAAAGAATTATCTGGGCATGGTGGCTTGCGCCTGTAGTCCTAGCTACTCAGAAGACTGAGGCTGGAGGATTCCATGAGCCCAGGAGTTCGAGGCTACAGTGAGCTGTGATCACACAACTGCATTCCAGCCTGGGTGACAGAGCAAGATCATGTTTCAAAAAAAAAAAAAAAATCAGTAAACATTTTAAAATTTTGCATCATTTTATGGCTGTTATGATTTAGCAACAAGAGCCATATATTATTTTTAAATATTCTATTTTTATCCTGCATTACATATTTAAAAAAGAAGGAACAAAGTATATTAACATTTTCTCTGTGCTTTCTATGCCCAGACACAGGGCATAGAATTTGCATTATCTCATTCAATGTTCACAACAACCTATGAAGAAGATATTATTATTAATCCACATTTTCCAGGAGAGTAAACTAAACTCAAAGAGAGTAAGAGACATGCTCAAGGTCACACAGCTAATAACACAGCATTTCTGTTGTGCTTCACGGTCTCTCTTCTGACACAGTCCAAAGAAGATAAGTGCCTTTTATTACAGAAAAAATAAAAATTCGTCCAACTAGAGAGGTCCAGAATGTTGAAAGAGTCAAATATTTTGAAATTCTACATTGGCTAGTACATAAAAGTGTTTGTGCTTCTCTAACAAAATACCTGAAACTGGGTAATTTATAAAGAACAATTTTTTATTTCTCACAGTTCTAAAGGTTAGGAAGCCCAAGATCAAGGTACCAGCAAGCTGGGTGTCTGGTGAGGGCTGCTCTCTGCTTCCAAGATGGTGCCTTGTTACTGCATCATTCAGAGGGGGACAAACCCTGTGTCCTCAGATGGCAGAAGGAATGGAAGGGGTGAAAAAAAACAAACTCTCTCCATTAAGTCCTTTTATAATGACATGAATTCATTCATGAGGGTGGAGTTCTCATGACCTAAACACCTCCCAAAATCCTCCACCTCCCAACACTGCTGCATTGGGGATTAAGTTTCCAACACATGAACTTTGGGGGCTGTATTAAGACCACAGCAGCTAGGAATTCCCCTTTTTACGTGAACAAGAGAATATCATCACATTATTGTAACACAACAGAGGGAAAGCTAATGCCACTGAATGGACATTTCAAAAATTAAGCATCTACTTCTTTTCTCAGGGGCAAGTAGACAGAATACATTTGTTCCATTCAATCATTTCTCATGTTGATATCACTTTTCTCCACTCCCCTTAGACGGTCCTTTCTGGTTTTATTATTGCCTTTCTTATTCTGTCCTGGCACCCACAACAAAAGTAGTCAAGAAATGAATACAAATACAACACAGGCAGAAGCAGCCATAAGGCCTTCTATATTAGTTTTTGTTGATGAAAAATAAAAAGCCTCTTGTAGTGTATGGTTTTATTTACGTAAGATTTATTTTGGAAAAGGAAGAACTATAGGGAAGGATAACAAATTAGTGGTTGCCATGGGCTGAGGGTAGAAGGAGGACACTAGCTACAAGGGGGCAGGAGAGAACTTCCTGGGGGGATGGAAGCACCCTGCCATCTTGATCGTGATGGTGGTTACATGATGGTATTCACTGGCCAAGACTCATTGAACGGTACACCTAAAAAGGATGAATTTCAGTGTATGTAATCATACTTTACTCAATTTGGTTTTAAAATTAAATTAAATTAAAAAGACAAGTAATTTGAAACATAAAATCTAGCAGCAGTAAGGGCGCACAGATACTGCTTGCATGTGGGTATATGTCACTCACCTATTATAAAATATATTTAAGTTTGGATAGGTATCTAGTACATGGATTTATATTTTTCTCAATAATTTAAGACCGTCAAGAGCATTTAAATTAGATTGACACAAGCTCTTGTAGAATTGAGAGGGTTCTTCTCAAAGAAATTGAGATCACAGGCTGAACCTTTCTCTACTAGTTGGAACGTCAGTAAAACATCGGTATGATGGATTCTTCTTCGAGAAGTTAACTTCTGCTGACATCTTCTCCGCTTACATTTGTAATTAAGAAGTTGCATGTAATTAAGAACCTGGATTTCCATTTCCTAGGAAACAAAGTATTCCAGGAGTCCTAAGCAAAAGCAATAATAATTACAAATAAAATAAGCCACATAAGATTATTAAACATATGACCTGTCAAAATAAGGAAATGATGGCCTAAATACTGCAAACTAACATTAGTACACTACATATCAGAAATTGGTTATTGTGTTAATCAATTTATTACTAGTATAATAGTATAATATTATAATATTCATTGATTACATTACCAAGAATGTTTAAGAATAAGGCAGATCAACCTTTAATTTTTTTTACTTCCAGAGAGAATTAAAAATTGCTTATGTGTTAAAATGTACACATTATTAATAATAAAAATGTACTATATACACTAATAAATTTCATGGAAGTATATCTAACTTCTCAGTATATTTTTAGACAAAAGTTCTCCTTTGGGCTTTTATTATCCTTATTTGTAACCTTAACCAAAATATTTATGTGCTTAGTAACTTTAAAACCATGAATGTTAATATTAACCCATCTAAATTTTATGGTAAGAAATTTTAAATGTCTCAGGCTACCAGTTGATTCTGAAAAAACAGAAACTGTGATTATTACCTAATTAAAATAGCTGCCTGCCAAATGCAGAAAGGTCTGACTTTGTAAATGTGTTCTTAATTCTACTGTTTCAGTAGAAAATAAAATATAAGCAAAAAAATATAAATACTCAATGGCCTTAGGCCTTCACTTCTAAACTAGGTGTGTTTGTTTTTAAACAAAAGAAGCAGATAAGAATACCAGCTCATAGATTTAAATGTCATTTGTGCATAATAATGAGCACAAAAATCTAGATGCATTTCAAATTGTAGTATCAATCAATAGTCACACTCTGCCTGTTTTTAAAATTCTAAACAAATTCTTGAATAATAATTAGATTTGGCTATTGTTAGGTTTTACAAAGACAAGTAGTGTACTTCCTATAAAGAGACAGTTTGCTGAAAGAATATACATGCCCCCAGTGTTAAAATATCAGTCGGCTCAGAGGGTATGTACTGAAAATTGATGGGCTGAGCAATGAGAAAGAACTAAGAATCTTCTTGAGTTTCTGAGTGTTGTTAATGGCACCATTTCCTAAAATGTCTAATCACACTGCTTTCAGTGTGGACCTTTGGAATCAATATAGCATAGTGTTTTTGACACTATGCTTCACTGTGGGGCAAATAACTATGGGGCATTTTAAACTCTTTGTGCCTTATTCATAAAATGGAGTCAATGGACAGCCCATAAAATCACTGTGAGGACTAAATGAGATAGCACACATAATGTTCTTAGGACAGTGTTTAGAATACAGTAGGCAATCCTTAAGCCTTTTTGTCGGTGGTGCTATTGCAATGCTAGCTATTGTTTTTTGGAGCATTTACTATTTTCCAGACACTAATATACTTCGCTTTTCTTTATCTCTACGAAGTAGTGTGTTAGCTCCATTTTACAGATGGAAAAACTGAGTTCAGAGAGTTTAAGTAACTTGTCCAAGGGCACATCAACATAGAAAGCCTGAATTCATATCAAGATCTGAAATCAGAGCCTGAGTTCTGTTCATTTTTACACTCCAGCAACATGACTCTTCATCCTTCATCTTCACACTTTGGAGGGAATAATCAAGATGTTCTTTACTTAAAACTAAATAAATGAAGTCGGCGATGCATGAGTTTTGAAAGAATCAACATTTAAAGTCTTAGAACACACGTCCTTAATTCCTATTAAGAATATCCTAGAGAATGAATGAGGGAGGGATGTGGAGGATTAAATAGTTATGTAAGATGAAGCACATGGGTTTGAGAAGTTTTGGGTACTACAAATCAGCAGGGTAAAGTTGATATTCATTCATGAACTATGTTTCTTCACCTGTTCTACAAACTAGCTGATTTTCTTGAATGGAGAGATTATCTCCTGGTACCCTGGAATGGGGGCAGTCTAAGTGATTTCTAACCCTATAGCTGTGTGACACCTTGAGGGCTGAGACTGTAACAGGGGGGTAGAGGGACACAGAACAAAGAGTTGACATCTTCTTACCTTTGTTGACTTGTTTTTAAAGTGCCATTAGACCTACTTTTACACATCATTTTGCTCCCCATCAAGTTCGATTTTAGGTTTTTCTTTCAATTGTTTATATTATTCAGCAACCATTTCAAATTGAATGCTATTTGAATCGTATTTGGAAGTCAAGAACATCTTCTAAAAACTATTTGTACATAGCTAGAGGGGCAGATGCTAACTGGTGACTTCTACAAAACAGGGCCCACAGGCACATTAAGCCTGGAGAAATGGAGGTGAGATGGTGCTGCAAAATTACGTCTATAAAGCAAGGGGATTTAAGGGATACCAGAAGTAGAAATGTGATCCTAGTATAAATGAAAGACACAAAAACTACAGCTGCAATCCCATTTGTATCTGTCTCTGGCCAAGCCTACGCTTTGCTCCTGATTGTGCATTGTGATCTCAAAGTATTAATTCCTGATTTTCATTAACCATTTCTCAAATGTGTCCCTGTTATTTTGAAACCTAGTTTTCTAAAATACGAGCATTTCTAGACTGCTCAAAGGGAATGCCTACCTCTCTGCTTTAAATGGGGTAACAGATATAGATGTGTTTTCAGCTCTTCAGAATAAAATATAGTACAAACACTGGGTGTATAAAAAAGAATGTTGCAATTTATTCTCCATGAGTCAGATAATTAACCTTGAAATATCCCAAATGAAAGCATATGCTAGCCTCAATTAATTCTTAAATGAGTTTTCAAATTAAAAAAATTTTAAACAGTTAAAAATATGCTGTAGTCAATTAGCAGAATACTTAGCAAGAAACAATGTAACTAGTAGCCTCATAAGTAACTGGTCGGAGGCAAAGCATTCTGTTTTGAAGAATAAGTGTTCCCCTAATTCATTCCTCATCTGCGCGGTGGCAATATACCACCAATCTTTCCTATAAGGCTTGCAGAAAGAATCCAAACCTACTAAATACTTACAACCTATTCTTGTTGTTCTCATATAATTTATTTCCTATACCACATGCAGAGTATGATTTTTTCTTTTTTTTCTTTTTTTTTTTTTTTGAGACGGATTCTCACTCTGTAGCCAAGGCTGAAGTCCAGTGGCACGATCTCGGCTCACTGCAACCTCTGCCTCCTGTATTCAAGTGAATCTTATGCCTCAGCCTCCTGAGTAGCTGAGACTATAGGCACGTGCCACTACGCCAGGTTAATTTTTGTATTTTAGTAGAGATGGAGTTTCACCATGTTGTCCAGGCTGGTCTTGAACTCCTGACCTCAAATGATCTGCCCACCTGAGCCTCCCAAAGTGCTGGGATTACAGGTGTGAGCCATCATGTCTAGCCCCTGGTTTTTCTTTTTTTTTTTTTTTTTTTTTGGTTTATACATCTTATTTTCCCAATGAGCAAGATGATTGCCAGACATGAGCAAGATGATTGCCAGACTACCACATTCATTTCTCTATTTTTCTTAACCTAGACTTCAGAGAACATTTATCAAGTTCAATTGAATTTAACCAAATTCTAAGTAGAAAATTGTCATTATCACCACATCACTGTGTTCATTACTATTAATCCATATAGACAGTCATATTAAAGGCACAGAAACTATTTAAACCAATGGGAATTGGCTTATAAAGCATAAACTAGGACTGAGAAGCAGATGTTTGAAGTGTTATGACAGACCCATTGGACCGTTCTTAAAAGACACAAAGACGTAGGGCCAAGTCATTCAGTACTGACCACAAGCATTGGATTATGTTTTCCTTGCTGGTCAGTAGGCCCAACAAGATATTTACAGGAAGAAGAAAACAGTATGACATATAGTAAAAACAGTTTGTCCCAGGACAATTTCTCCTTCTCAGTTGGTCTGAGTTTTCCAAGCCAATTCCACGGAAATAGAAAGCCTTTAAATTCAAGAGGAATAATTCAAGAGCAATACCTGGGTAATTTATGGTTTGTAGTCCAAGAGTTCAAAATGGGAAGGGTAAGCAATATACTTCTCATCTACAATGTGTGTGTGTGGTGGGCAGGGAGAAGGGATGATATGGGCACTAGCAATACCACTACATCCAGGCATCACCGTGATACAAAATGGTATGAAATGTACACATCACCAGTCAGTTTACAATGTTATGAGTTACAAATTCCTGAGTATAGTTAATGTGGGAACCTGGGCTCAAATCCGACACGTTAACACGTACTTGGTGTATCTCTAATGTCCATAGTCTCACTATAACATGTTTCATCATATTCATTAAGGAAGAAAAGAAGAATACATGTGGTCACCAGATTTGTTTTTGTTTCTAAAAGAAAGCTGCATCCTTTAATTACCCCTTACCATCTTATTGCTCCAATTATTACTGCAACTTTGAAATAATTCTTTTTTGACATAGTCTTTTTAATCAAGAACAAACAAGACCACACATCCTCCTGATTGATACATTAAAAACATATGTGTATTATGATAAATACCCTCATGAAGAAAATGTTTTAGTGAAAAGCCAAAAGCCAAACAGAATGATGGAACCAGACTCTTGACTATTGATCACCTTTTCCAAGGCCTCCCCTCTTGAGAATATCAAGCCCTTAACATGCTGAATAGGACCTCAATAATATGTGTGCTTTCTGCCAGGATATCTGTTTGGTCTAGAAGGTCCAGAGTGTGATTCTGACCTCAACTTTGCCATACTCAAGAGTGAGAATCATAGAACGAAGGGGAAGAGAAATTTACTTGTGACATAAAACTTGTAAACATTATAAAAACTTGTAAAACTTGTACATGACAAGCAGGTCTGCAGCCAGATGTCACTGAGATTTTTAATTTTCCTATCTAAAATTTTCCAAGCTTAACCAACTGGTATTGAAGAGCAGTCGGATAAAAAAGAAATTCTACATACTGTCTAGAGAATTCCAATGCATGACATTAAATAACCAACATGTGAGCTATGAGCAAAAGAGGAGAAAGATGGACATCTATTGGGGACAGTCCACACATAAAATATTTTTATACAAAAGCATATAAGAAGAGCAATTTGAGATCCAGCAGCACAGAATAACATCAAATACAATGTGCAAAAAGGAAGAAAGGAAGAGGAAGAGAAACAATACAAAAAACATAATAGAACGCAGAACAACACCAGTACTAAAAGGGGAATCGCTAAAGACACAAGAGAAAATAAATATCAACTGATAGAATAAAATACTGCTTTTAAACCTATGAACCTAGCAAGATTGTGGGATTTTCGGCAGAGTCATAATTAAGGATTCATGATTTGTTTTGTTTTCTCTTCAGATATTATTGAAGATTGAAGAAATCCCAGACTTCCAGGCTGAGAAAATGAAAATGAATGAGACCCCCTGATTGATATGGAAGAATCAAATTGTAAGAGTCAGAGGAAAAAGAACCATGTATCTCAAAGGGACATGATTGGTTGCTCTGGAAATTGTGTAACTCTACCATGACAGAGCTCGCAGCATAAGTTGGAGGCATAAATCCCCATGAAGAAAGGATTTTTACAGTTGTGAAAATGAGTAAGTGCATCAAACATAGTCCACACTCAATAAATATTTATTAGAATAAACTGAATGAAAAGCAGTGGATAAAAAATAAACAAAAGCAGGGAGCTAAGGAAAGAGCCTTAGAAGATCCCCTCAGCTGTCAACCAGAAACCTACAAGTAATATGAAAAGTGGAAGGAGGCAAAAAAGTCACGTACAGTGTTAAGAAAAGCCAGTTAGGTAATATTTAAAAGACATGATCATTAGTGTCAAATGAAAAGAACTAATATAAGGAAATTGAGTTATGCCTGTTGTGGAAAAAAAGTCTTTCAAATGTTCTCTGGGAAAAAAAAATATGATCTTTAAAATTTTCTGAAAACTCTGAGGCTGAGTCTTATAGGCTGATGCAATTTGTGGTACCAACAATCAACCACTATGTGAATTAAGTAGAAGCCAATTTCTGCTAAGAAAAAAGTTTAAAGGTATTGGAAAGGAGAAAACAAAAAGAGGGAAGAAAAAAAATTCTCTAGTGGAAAAAAATTATTTGGACTCTCATAAGCTTATGGACATTATGCTCCTGCATAACATTGATTATTTTTCTTCCACTTTCTCAGCTGAAAATGAAGCAGTGGAAACTAAGATCTTCCTTATGTAGAAGTAGTTACAGAAAGAAACTGGTTGCAAAATATAAAGAGTCTTCAACTAGGATGCTTGGGTCTTTGACCCCCCCTACATAGCATTCCATTCTCACTATTCATGTGTGAAAGATGGTCCATGGCTTCTACCAGATTCTCAAAGAGCTCGTTACCCTACAAAGGTTACGAACCACCATTCTAGAGAAAGTAATCATTTTGGCCACCGGGGGGCAAGTTTGAAGGAGTTTTGATGGCAAGTTGGCTGACGTCCGCACATCCTTATTCATCCTCACCACTTTCCCTTCCATCTCAGCGGAAGTATTGCTGTCCTCGTGAGCCTTCTCTGCACTTTAAATCTCACCCCACCCCACCCCATCTCCACTGCTTCTTCTCACTTGCCTTTGTCCCATAAATATTGTTGTTCCCAAGACTCTATATCCAATCCCTTTCTCTTCACACTTTATACGTTCTGTCTGGCTGATCTGTATTCTATCTGGCTCCAGCCAATTTATAAATGATGGCTGCAAAGTCTGGAAACATAGGTGAATACATAAGAAATGATTTATTGATACTGTATTAAAATACATGACAAAATGTTATTATCTATGTTTCCAGAATTTATGGCCATCTGTATATATTTATGGTTTCCAAATTAATCTCAAGCCAAGAAGTCTTTCTTGAGCTGGATGTGATTTTTAGACTGTGGAGTGTCGATGGAACATCTCCACCTGGCATCCCCCAAACACTTCTCACATAAAATATCCAAATCAAAGCTCACCATTTTCCCCCAACATCCTTCTGCACTCCCCATCTCAGGGATTGGTGTCCCCATTCTTATCCAACTCACAAAGCAGAAACTTGGGAGTTATCCTCAGCAGTTCCCTCTCCTTCACCACTTCTCTTTCCAACTGGTCACCAATCCCGTCTATTCTAACTCAAATACTTTACAAATCTGCTCCCACCCCAGACCATCTTTACTGATATTACTTTAGTTTAAGCACTTACCATTTCTTGCCTCCACTATTACATTAGAGCTTCTCCACCGGTCTTCCTAATCCAATCTTGCCTCTTTTTAGGCCCTCCTCCAAAGACCCTTTCTAAAATGCAAATCTGATTGTGATAATTCATTACAAGCATACCTCAGATATTGTCATTTTGGTTCCAGACCACCACAATAAAGCGAATATTGTAATAAAGTAAGTCACATGAATTATTTTTGGTTCCCAGTACATAGAAAAGTGGTACACACATTGTTTCTTTAGACATACTACTGCACACTTAATATGTGTGCACTTAAGTGTATGTACCTTAACATGTGTGCACTTATTAAGTACACACATTGTACTTAATGTATGTACTTAATGTAACAATGTATGTACCTTAACTAAAAAATACTTCATTGCTAAAAATTAGTAATGATCATTTGAGCCTTCAAGTTGTAATCTTTTTGCTGGTGGAGGGTCTTGCCTCAATAGTGATGTCTGTTGACTGATTAGGGTGGTGATTGGTGAAGATTGGGGTGGCTGTGGCAATTTCTAAAAATAAAACAACAGTGAAGTTTGCCACTTTGATTGACTCTTCCTTTCACAAAAGATTTCTATGTAGTGTGTGATGCTATTTGATATCATTTTACCCACAGTGGAACATCTTTCAAAACTGGAGTCAATCCTCTCAAACCCTGCTGCTACTTTATCAACAAAGTTTATGTAATATTCTAAATCCTTTATTGTCATTTCAACGATGTTCACAGCATCTTTACCAGGAGTAGATTTCATCTCAATAAACCACTTTATTTGCTTATCTACAAGAAGCAACTCCTCATCTTTTAAAGTTTTATCATAAGATTGCACCAATTCAGTTACATCTTTGGGCTCAACTTCTAATCCTAGCTCTCTGCTATTTCTAACACATCTGAAGTTGCATCTGCCACTGAAGACTTGAACCCCTCAAAGCCATCTATAAGGATTGAAATCAACTTCTTCCAAACTTCTGTTGATATTTTGACCTCTTCCCATGAATCGCAAATGTCCTTAATGGCGTCTAGAATGGTGACTCCTTTCCAGAAGATTTTCAATTTACTCTGCCAACATTCACCCAGAGGAATCACTATCTATGGTAGCTATTGCCTTATTAAATGTATTTCTTAAGTAATATAAGTCTTAACAGTCAAAATGGATGTTGTGTTGGTAGGCATGAAAACAACATTCACCTTCTTGTATATCTGCACTAGACCTCTTGAGTCACTAGGTGCATTGCTAATGAGCAGTAATATTTTGAAAGAAACCTTTTTTTCAGTAAACCATGCTATAAACAGATATCCGACCATCTAGGCTTTGTTGTTCCATTTATACAATACAAACAGAGTAGATTTAGCATAACTCTTAAAGGCCCCAGGATTTTCAGGATAGTAAATGAGGACTGGTTTCAACTTAAACTCAGCAGCTGCATTAGCCCCTAACAAGAAAGTCAATCTGTCCTCTGAAACTTTGAAACTAGGATTGATTTCTCCTCTCTAACTACATTTTCATCTACATTGAAAATCTGTTGTTTAGTGTAGCCACCTTCATCAGTTATCTTAGCCAGATCTTCTGTATAACATGCTGCAGCATCTACATCAGCACGTGCCGCTTCACCTTGCACTTTTACGTTACAAAGAACAGCTTCTTTTCTTAAAATGCATGAACTCATCTCTACTAGCTTCAAACTCTTCTTCTGTAGCTCCTTCATCTCTCTCAGCCACCACAGAATTGAAGAGAGTTAGGACCTTGCTCTGGATTAGGCTTCTATTAAAGGAATGTTGTGGCTCATTTGACCTTCTATCCAGGCCACTCAAACTTTCTCTGTATCAACAAGGTTTTTTCACTTTCTTATCACTCATGTGTTCACTGGAATAACATTTTTAATTTCCTTCAAGAGCTTTTCCTTTGCACTCACAACTTGGTTGACTGGTGCCAGAGGTCCAGCTTTCAGCCTCTATTGGCTTTTGACATGCCTTCCTCACTAAGCTTAATCATTTATAGCTTTTGATTTAAAGTGAGACATGTAATCATTTCTCTGCCTTTTGGCTAAGATCAAGTGTAAAGAGAGGGACATGTGACTTTTCTTTTCACTTGGACACTTAGAGGCCACTGTAGGGTTATTAATTGGCCTAATTTCAATATTGCTGTGTCTCAGGGAGAGGAAGGTCAGAGGAGAGGGAGAGAAATGGGGGATTGTCCAGTCTATGGAGCAGTCAGAACATATACAACACTTATTAAATTCTCTATCTTATATGGGTACAGTTCATGCTCCCCCAAAATAATTACAATGGTAACATCAAAGATTATCAATCACACTGTTGCGGGAAGTCAGGGACCCCAAACGGAGGGACTGGCTGGAGCCCCAGCAGAGGAACATAAATTGTGATGACTTCATTTTAATATGGACATATATCAGTTCCCAAAATTAATACTTTTATAATTTTTTACGCCTGTCTTTACTTCACTCTCTGAACATAAATTGTGAAGATTTCATTTTAATATGGACATTTATCAGTTCCCAAAATTAATACTTTTATAATTTATTATGCCTATCTTTAATCTCTTAATCCTGTTATCTTTGTAAGCAGGACCACTATTGTGTTAAACTGTACAAATTGATTGTAAAACGTGTGTTTGAACAGTATGAAATCAGTGCACCTTGAAAAAGAACAGAATAACAATGATTTTCAGGGAACGAGGGAAGACAATCATAAGGTCTGACTGCCTGTGGGGTCGGGCAGAATAGAGCCATATTTTTCTTCTTGCAGAGAGCCTATAAACAGATGTGCAAGTAGGGAAGATATCGCTGAATTCTTTTCCTAGCAAGGAATATTAATAATTAAGACCCTGGGAAAGGAATGCATTCCTGGGGGGAGGTCTACAAATGGCCGCTCTGGGAGTGTCTGTCTTATGCAGTTGAGATAAGGACTGAAATACGCCCTGCTCTCCTGCAGTATCCTCAGGCTTATCAGGGTGGGGAAGAAACCCCAACCTGGTAAATTTGAGGTCAGACTAGTTCTCTGCTCTCGAACCCTGTTTTCTGTTGTTTAAGATGTTTATCTCAAAATTTGCAAAGAAAAAAGTAAAGTGCAGTAAGACAAGGTATGTTTGTACTTCAAACCCTCCCATAGCTCCAGTTGCTGAACAACAGAATCCAACTCCTTGACCTGGCATAAAAGGCCATCATCTTCTACCTTTTCAGCTTAACTTTGGTGCTACAGCCACACCCACTGACTTGACCTTCCTCTAATGTGTGTAATCCCCTGCTTAGATTTTCCCTGGAACTACTCCTTCCCTCACCACTATCGGAAGCCCTCAGAGTCTGGACTTCTTATTCTGTATTCCGAGAGCAACTTACATCATTATCAGAATGTATTACAATTGTCTATCCATTTAGAATCTCTTCCCCACTATATTGCAAGCTCCCAAGTGCTATTTATTTATTAACCTCTAATAGCACTCTGTCATCATATGTTTAACGGAAGAATGGCAGGTGTGAGAGACAGACTGGATAGTTTGGAACTGGAAAGGAATTTGTACTTTGTATTTTCTAATAAGCAAATGGTGTTATGTAAAATACTAGTCCCTGACACAGATTAGGCATGGAAGGTTTAACTGGAGTAGAACCATAGGAACCAAGTGGTTCAGGACTTAGATCCCATCATTGTTACTGAAGAAAAATTTGGGGAATGAGAGGAAGCCTACCCTCAGGCTTATTAGGGTGGGGAAGAAACCCCACCCTGGTAAATTTGAGGTCAGACTAGTTCTCTGCTCTTGAACCCTGTTTTCTGTTGTTTAAGATGTTTATCAAGACAATACGTGCATAGCTGAACATAGACCCTTATCAGGAGTTTTTGATTTCGCCCTTTGCCTTGTGATCTTTGCTTTGCCCTTTGCCTTGTGATCTTTATTGGCATGTGATCTTCGTTCTCCTTTTTGCTCTTTGATGCATGTGATCTTTGTGACCTACTCCTTGTTCATACACCCCCTCCCCTTTTAAAGTCCTTAATAAAAACATGCTGGTTTTGCGGCTCAGGTGGGCATCACAGTCCTCCCGATATGTGATATCATCCCTGGTGGCCCAACTGTAAAATTCCTCTCTTTGTACTCTTTCTCTTTATTACTCAGCTGGCTGACACTTAGGGAAAATAGAAAGAACCTATGGTGAAATATTGGGGGCAGGTTCCCCGATATCACACATCACCATAATAGATGTAAAAATAATGAAAAAGTTTGAAATTTTGCAAGAATTACTAAATGTGGCACAGAGACAGGAATTGAGCACAGACTGTTGGAAAAATGATGGTGATATGCTTGCTTGACACAGAAGTGCCATAAACCTTCAATTTGTTAAAAAAAAAAAAAAAAAAAAAAAAAAAAAAGGAGGTCATGAGAATCGCTTGAACCCAGGAGGTGGAGGTTGCAGTGAGCTGAGATCATGCCACTGCACTCCAGCCTGGGCAACAGAATGAGACTCTGTCTCAAAAAAAAAAAAAAAAAAAAAAAAAGGTAATTATCATCACAGAAGGCTTTGAACAGGAAATAGTGTAGTGCCCAATCCTGGGGAGAAATTGGTAAGGCAGGCCTGGTGGGACTAGGATTCTCAACAGGTGATCAGGAATGGGAATCAGGCACACGGAAACAAGGTGAATTTTATTTCATTATCGAGGCTAAGGGGAAGCCTGGAGTCAGGGATGCAACTGAACTGAGAGAAAAGTCAAAGTCAGAGCCCCAGCAATATTGAAGCTAAGTTATGAGCATCTTGCTAGGGCCCCTGGAAATCCCAACAAGGACAGGATTGCTCCAGCATCTAAGGCAGAGCAGAGTTGAGGCTAATAAGTTCTCTGAGCAGGAGGAGCAGACTTGTGGTCAGGCACTAGGGCAAGCCATGGCTATATCCATAGGATACTACATTTAGGAAATGTGAACATCCTGGTTTTTTTTTTTTTTTGACACAGAGTCTTTCTCCATCGCCCAGGCTGGAGTGCAGTGGCACTATCTTGGCTCACTGCAAGCTCCACCTCCTGGGTTCAGCCATTCTCCTGCCTCAGTAGCTGGGACTACAGACAAGCACCACCACGCCTGGCTAATTTTTATATTTTTAGTAGAGACGGGGTTTCACCATGTTAGCCAGGATGGTCTTGATCTCCTGACCTCATGAGCCGCCCACCTCGGCCTCTCAAAGTGCTGGAATTACAGGCATGAGCCACCGCGCCCGGCCGGAAATGTGAACATCCTTTTATGAGTGCAGGCCCAATTTTTTTACTTATGGTAAGATACTTACCTGTTGGCACTTTTTCTAATGACACCTTATGTATTCCAAGGAAACAGAGGTTTCCCTCCTTCACACTACAGCCAGTTAAGAGAACTAAAAACAGGTTTAAAAATGTTGGGCTTGTTTACATCTTAGTTAAAAAACTGAGAAATACAATTCTGGCAAAACAGTCATTATTGCTGGATTCCTTCAAGAAGTTGAAAATCAAAAGCTTTCAGAGCAGAATGTGAGCACTCTGCACCCAGTCACTTTGTGCTCCAGGTTTAGGCAGTGGTGACTCAGGTCAATGTAGGAGACCAAGGAAGGTCATCTGGAGGTCAGGGAGGCAAGCTTAGAAGGTCCCACTTTACATGTGGAGGCTCAGGTCAGATTTTTTTAAAAAAAAACAAAAGGAGTTTTGAGGCTAAGTTTTTAAATGACCCATTACACATTTCTTCTTTTACAGATGCATAATAAATTGAGGCACAGAGAAGTTACATAAAATTCCAAAATCATACCCCTAGTTGGTAGCAAAGATTTGATGACACAAAGGGAGATCAAGTCAAAAACTATTCAGACATTCTCTAGGAGCTTTTGGTCTATGAGTGGAAAATCAATGTTCCATGTTCCAATATCCACCTGCAGAAAATTCAGAGTGGTATATAAGTATTAAACAAAGCCATGACTGGATAGGTATATACATCCATACAGACTCACATCAATATTTTCAGCTTCATATATTGAAAAAAGTCTCAAAAACAATGTGATAATTTATAATATGTAATTTATAAAATTTAGAAGTTGCTTTAGCTAAGCAGACCAGTGAGGGTACAGTCCAGAAAACAAAAGCCATTCTGTATCTTTGAAACAAAAGTGTATTTGGTACAGAGAACTGGTTTCACAGATTATTAAAAAAAGAGGAAAAAAGCTGAGAATCCTAACAAATAGTGCAACTTCCCCCAGATGAGCAATTGTAAGAAGTCATGGCCACTCTTTGGGCTGGAGGGTAAGCAGGAGAGTTGGTGTCCCTACAGCTAGGCCAGGAAGGGAGTTTCCAGCAAGGGGCCAGGCCTGCAGAGGAAGAAGCCATCTAGTGGGGCCTGAAGTCTTGGAAAAGACTCAGTCTCAACTCTATCCTCAAGAACCACAAAAAAAGGTAAGAGAAAGTCAACTTAAATTAGGAAATGACTCTTCTCCGACTCCACCCTATCTCTCCCTTTCTGTGTTTTGATTGCAATCCGATTCATCTTCACCCCCCGAGGTACTTCTCCCAAGGAAGGAAGCCACCCATTGATGCTGATCTGAGTCAATTGCTCTTATCCTTTGGGGTTAGGAATAGCTGCATGAGGAGTGAGCCATCACATGACAAAGTAATCCAGAGGAGTGTGGTTCCTGAGCATAATGAAAACGCCAAGGTTAAAGATGATGACTAACTGCAGTTAAATCACCTTCCAAGTTCTACTTTGCTTAATTAATCCTTTCTTCACTCTCTGGCATATAATGAATTCTTAAAGGAACATTTTAAACTTACACAGTCACCTCCCCCATTCAAGCCAGCAAAAGTATGATCCAGAAAGATAGGAAACAGAAAAATCGATTCTATTTACCAGTGAGGTGTTTTTGGAAACCCACTATTCTTCATACCTATTCCTTAGGGGACAGGGGGATACCAGAAAGAGTCTCTGCCCTTCTGTTAACCATCTGGGGGGAATATGCAACAAGGGAGCATGAATTCCCACTTTCAAGGTCACCCTGACACGTGGAGGTTTTCCAACATTTTGGAAGCTGACTCATTCCAGCACATTGCTTTGTTGTGGCATCAGCTGTCAGTGGGCGGGATGACAGGGGCAACCAAGACTGAGTATACATAGCCTGAGTCCCTAAATTAAGAGGCTTCTATGTGCTATCTCATTTAATTTTTAGAATAATCATATGAAGACAGAACTTTTATCTCCTTATGAGGAAGAGATGGCTTAGGAAGCCCTAACATGTAGAATTTAAATTCTCCTTCCTTCCAGTTCGCACTCCCACATGGACACACAGGCCACCCCTAATCCATCCCTCTCCCCTCATTCATTCATTCATCCATTCTTTCACTTAATGAACAGTTATTGGCTGGGCATGATGGCTGACACCTCTAATCCCAGCCGAGGCTGGAGGACTGCTTGAGCACAGGAGTTTGAGACCAGCCTGGATAACATAGCAACACCTCATGTCTACTAAAAATATTTTTAAAATTAGGCAAGCATGATGACATGCGCTTGCAGTCCCAGGTGCTTGGAAAGCTGAGGTGGGAGGATTGCTTGAGCCCAGGAGTTAGAGGTTGCAGTGAGTTATGATCACACCACTGCACTCCAGCCTGGGCAACAGAGCAAGATCCTGTCTAAAAAAAAAACCCAAAAAACAAACAAACAAAAAAAAAGACTATTGATCACCTACTATGTGCCAGACACTAGAGATAAAGCAGAGAATAAAAAAAGAAAAAATTCCCACTCTCATGGAGTTTGTATTCTAGTCTAGGATGACAGCAAAAAAAAAAAAATCAAAATATATAGTTTATCCAATGATACTATGGGGTTATGAAAAAAACAACAATAATGTAAGGAAAGGTCATATATTTTCCTAGGATGAGAACACTGCCATTTTTTAAGAGGTCAAGGAAAGCTTTTTTGTAAAGATGAACTATTGAGGAAAGCTCTAAAGTAGGTGAGAGTGGGAGCCATACAAATATCTTAGGAAAGAGCATTCTAGCCAGAAGGAACAGCAAGTGCAGAGGCCCTCGGGTTGGAACATGCCTTGTAACGTGCTCCACGAATAGCAAAGGGCTTGTGGTAGCTGAAGTGGAGTGAGGGTAAGAAAGAAATAGTGGGAGATGCGCTCAGAAATGTGAGAGAGATGAGATTTCGTAGGGCCTTCTGGGCTTTTTTTAAGAACTCTGGCATTTACTCTGAGTAAGATGGGAAACCAGTAGAGCAGAAGACTGACATGCTCTGACTTGCTTTTTAAAAAGGATTGCTCTGTCTGTTGGATGGAGAAAGGAATGGAGGGGTACAAGTGCAAAAGCAAGGAAACCAATTGCAATAATCCAGAGGAGAGATGGAGTTGGAGGCGATAAAAGGTCAGATTCTGCATATATTCGAGACAAATTTTTAAGATCCTCCAGAGTACAAATGTATGGCCATTCATTCTCTTTCCCTGAGTCTTTAGGGTAAATCTGCGATGTTCATAAATCCAAGATCCAGGAACTTGGAGCAGTGAGGAGCTCAGTTACCAAAGCTTGGATTTGGTTAGTGTCTTTCATGGATTTTAAAGAAACTGAAGCAGGGAGTAAGTTTAATGAAAAGGAAAGGATATAAGTGGTTAATATTGGTCAGGATAAGGAACCGCAGCAGCAATATCAATATACTGAGTTCCTAATATGTTTTTTGTTGTTTTTATTTGTTTGTTTGTTTGAGATGCAGTTTCACTCTGTCACCCAGGCAGGAGTGCAATGGTGCGGTCTTGGCTCACTGCAACCTCTGCCTCCCGGGTTCAAGTGATTCTCCTGCCTCAGCCTCCCAAGTAGGATTACAAGTGGGATTACAGGTGCCCACCACTTAATGTGTTAAGTCCCTATATGTAAGAGGTTTCTGTATACTATCTCATTTAATCCTTAAAACAATCATCTAAAGACAGAACTTATTTTATGGGGAAGCAACAGCTCAGGAAGGCTTAGTAACTCGGTCTGAGTCACATGATTAATACAAGGCTAAGCTGAAACTTAAGTCTGGCTCACTTCTCTCTAAAGTCTGTGGCATTTCCTCTACACTACAATTATTCATTCACTCAATGAATGTTTATTAAATCCCTAGTGCAGCTGCATAAGACACAGACATGAGCTAGATAGGACACCTGCCCTCAATAAACTTCTAACTATAAATGTGGCACTGATGCTTAGAAAAGAAGCTGTTTCTGGAAAATATAGTTTTCTTCCTTTCATTCATTGAACAAATATTTATTGAGTGCCTACTAAGTACTGGCATAAAAGTCTTTCTCTCCCGAAGCTTACATTGTGGTAGGGGGATCCAGACAACAAACAAAAATGTAAAACCCCTCAGGCAGGGATGCATACTATAGAGAGAAATAAAGTCGGGCTGCAGAGCTCTCATTATTCTATATGGATTGGTCAGGGATGCTTCCTCTGCTAGGATCATGTGTAAGGAAGGACCTAAAAAAATTGATGGAGCATGGCATGCAAATATCTCAGTAGAGAGCCTTCCTGCCAGAAGGAAGAGCTACTGTAAAAGCCCTGGGTACTCCGGGAAGAGCAAGAAAGCACCATGGCAGGAGTGGCAGGAGCAAGGGAGACGGTGATAGGAGACAAGGTCAGAAAGGTGGTAGTGGATGGCCCAGCAAAGAGATCAACTAGAAGGCTATTGCCATAATTCAGGAGAAAAATTATGAGAACTTAGACCATATTAGAAGGAGTGGCCATAGTGAGGAGTAAAAAGATTTGGGTTATATTTTGAAAGTTGGGGATTTGCTGACAGATTTTATATGGAGTGTAAGAGAAAAAAATTTGACCTCAGCTACAGGAAGCACAGAGTTGTATATTTGGAGTTAGGGAAGGCTACAGGAAAAACTGATTTGGGAGGGAATGAAGACAAATTAAGTTTTAGTTGTTGGACGGGGGTTGATGCGTTAGTCTGGAGTGTGAGGGAGAGGAGCAGGCTGAAGATGTAAGTGTAAGTGTATACCTGGTATTTACACCTCTGAGTCCAGATAAAATCACCTAGGGAGAAAGCACAGCTGGAGAACGGGACATCTGAGCCTGGGGACTCTCCAACCTTGAGATGAAAAGGAGGCAGCAGAAAAATCCTAACACCATACCTACCTAAGTGAGAATCTTGGGAGTTTGAGTTTAGATATCTGTATTTTTAACAAGCTCCCCCAGCCATGGTAATGCACAGTTGAGCTTGGGAACAACTGAAAAACTGAGACCTGCACTCAATGGTTCACCTTCTTGTCATAATTTAGTAAAGTACTTTTAATTGTTTGTGTTACTAATTTTAGGTAATCTAGTAAAGTGCTTGTGAGATGGGAATTATGAATAGACAGCCAGGGAAGGAGGAAATGTCCGATGCTATAGCTTATGCTTCCAACCAAAGACATGTTGTTTTCTATACTCTAGATCACTTCATTCAATTCCAAAAAATTGGCTGTCCCAAATTTCCATTCCTATATGCTCTCAGATGTGTTCCTAGTTTTTGAATAGAGAAAGGTGGGGAGATGTTTTTAAGCATATTGGTTGGGTTTTCTTAATTCATTGTTTCATCACATGAGGTAGCCAAAGAAATCTTAGCTTGCTTCTGTGTGCCTATTAAACAAGGGAGTAGATGACAAAAAGATTGATGCTAACCAATTTTTCATGAGGGTTAGAGTTATCCAGGAAAGTGTCAATAGTAGACACCCTAAAAAGGGATTCTGATAGATAGATATATATCACTGAGTTTCACAAAGCCGTGAATCTGAATGTGAGATCAACAAAGGGGAGAGTAAGAGCCAAAAGCCAGTGCAAGCAAAATGGCCCCAAGAGAGTCACTGCAGCTGACTACACATTTATATATAGTATATACTGCTTGTCACAGCAATAGCCACATACACAAGGACTGAAATTCTAAGTGGATGATAAATACCAATACAAGAGGAACTAATCAAGAGGAGTAGAGCTGATTAAGGCTGCAGTGTTAAGCACTGCCAAAAGATAAAATGATCAGAAAGCTCAAACTGAGGATTCAGGGAGGAAAAATGGCTGCATTTGCTGAAAGGTTCAATAAATGTTTGGAGAATCAAATCCCTATAGAACCTCATATACATAACTTAGGATGAAGTTATACTTGATCTCTTGATCTGTTTACTGGCAGCATGGGAATTACCCGGAAACCTATTAGAAATACAGAATCTCAGGCCAACCCCCGACCTCCTAAATCAGAATCAGCTTATTAATAAAGATCCCAGGGGATTTGTGTGCACACCAAAATTTGAGAAACTCTGATGAAGGAGTCTGTTGCCTTTAAAATTATCACTGACAAGGAGGGTGGAAGGAAAGGAAGTAGTGGCTGGCTCAGCACTAGACTGTGATGAAGAATGGACAGATACCTAAACTTGTCTTCACAGAGTTCAATAAAAAATCCAGGAAGCTCCTCAGTTTGTTAAGTGAAAGAAGACTGAAGAAGGAGAAATTTGGAGAGAAGGTCTGAGCCCTCAATCAAGTGCAATCCCAGACTAGTTACTTGGGTTCCAACTGTTCCCATAGCAAGGCACAGATACGGAAGCATAAACTCTGATTTGGGGACATTCTGTGTGAGCTAACAAGGCACCAAGAGAAGAATCAAGGTGGTTTGGGTAGACACAGCAGTCACTAAGAGGAGCAGGCACTCACCCTTCAGAAAGTCCTTTCCATTCAGAAAGGAATGGAAATTATGGTCAAATAGCGACAATTCAATTTTGGTAAGTGGAATTTCCAGATGCACGGAAAATATGAACTTTAGAGGACTTCACAAACATTAACATTTCTGCAAAGGCTTCAGTGGCCATGAATCACACTTGCTTGCATAGCACTGAATTCTAACCATCTCCTATACAGTGAACCTCAACCCCACAGGCCTAACCAAGTCCATCAGGAACAGAATCCGAGAACTATGTGTTCTAAAACAAACCAACACACGTGCTCTTGCCATTCTGAAAGTGTTTTCTGGAGAGCCCTCTTCCTTCTATACCACAGTGTTGAGCAAGGAGAGGAAAAAGTCATATCATTATCCCATATATTCTTTTCATCCAGCCACAATTACAGGGGGGCTTGCAGCATGTTATGCGAGCCTGTCATCAAGGCTGAAGCTAAAAAATTTGAATTACACAACAGTAAGATGGGCCTGTGCATCCACTCAAGCAAGGGAATTCAACCTCAAACCAACTTACTTAAGGTACTCTGCCATCCATGCCAACTGCCAGTTACCCTGAAGAGTTCAAACACACATCGGTACTGATGTCTTGCAAACGGACCAGAAAAATATATGTATTCTTAAAGCATTTAATAGTATTACCTTCAAGTCAGGTGCTATGCTAAGTGCATTCCATGAATTTTCACATTTTCTCTTCAAATGTAGGACCTTCAAAAGTTGTGATTAGCTGTATTATCACCATTGTATAGATATGGGAACCAACACTCAAAAAGGTTCAATAACTTGTCCAAGGCCACATGGTAAGTATAAAAGCAGGATTCAAACTCAGGCCAGTTGACTCTAATGCCTTAGAGTTCACTACCAAAGGGCTCAACTTCCCATTATCATCTGCCCAGTCTCCCAACATTAATTGTAATGGAATAGAATTTACGAGACAGACGCATTTACCATCTGCTTAAAGAGAACTTACTTGCCTGGACAAATGCCCACTTGCAAAGGAATGCCATAGAATACTTATTTATGGTATCTACTAAGCATGGGAAATAACTCTAACTGAAGTGAAAAATTTATGCAGAAGTAGAGCCATCTGCCTTTGCAATGACACTTGGCCAGTAGACTTGGGCTCCCATTGTTCCCACAGCAAGGCACAGATATGGGAGCATAAGCTCTGATTTGGGGGACGTTTCTGCGTGAGCTAACAAGGCACCAAGAGAAGAATCAAGGTGGTTTGGGTAGCCACAGCAGTCACTGAAAGGAGCAGGCACTCACCCTTCAGAAAGCCTCTCTAATTCTAAAAGAGATTTCTACCACAGTTACCACCTTCTAGAAAAGGGTCAAGGGGAGTCCACTCTCTTCCCTAGAGGTGGGTGGTTAGCAGCCAACCCTGATGCAAGCCTCCAGGACCACTCCATGGGGCAGTGGCAGACTTATATGTCAGCAGGAAGCCAGCTTGCCACCCAGACACTAAAATATTATTGGAGCAGGCTAGACCTTGGCATCTGGCTGGTCCAGCTGCCAACACACCTTGCCAGTAACTGCAGGTGCTGGCTGCTGCTCTGGCACTGTCTGAGGAAAAGGAGAGTGCAAGAAAATATTACACAGACAAATTTTCAGCTTAGGGGCAGTGATTCTATCCATGTGCCAATGTGCCTGATCATTGTGTTGCTATATAGAAGTCGGGTTATGATGTTACTGTGAGCCTATCTTAAGCATGAACACATAATCAGGGTTAGGAGGAGGTCTTTCTCATAATATTATAGTTCTCAGTCAAGAGAACTTCATCACTGAGAACACACACACTTGCCAAATAAATATATTTAAACATCAGCGGAAAATTTTTCTGAGTATGAGGAGGTTATATATAAAGGATCACAGTGGGGAGGAGAAAACATTAATTTATTATGGAAAGAAAGGATGACATCTTCAAACACCCAGTTGAAACAGCATCTCCTTCCTGGCTGGGAATTTGTGGTGTTACGTGTGTGTCGTGGAGGAGGTGATTGGGGGAGGCCGGCAGATGGCAGAAGTCTAAATAGAGCATGGTGTGGGTTGTTGGGCTCCCCAGGATGAAGAAACCTTACTGGAAAACTAGTTTTAAAAGAACAGAGTGTTTGTAAGCAGGGTTCCTATATGACGCCAGTGAAAGGAAAGAAGATGGAAAACATCTTCCAATTCCAAAAGCTGAAAAAGAAGATAAAGACCAAGTTTCACATAAGAAAACGTCCTCTCATAGAAAAACAGCTATTTGTCACTGCTTCCAAGAAGTAATCTGTTTGATCCAGAAGGTTTCTGGCCTCTACTATGCCACCTGGAACCTCAAGTGTAGTCTCCCAATCTCTTGTAACCTGAGATTCTCCATCTACACACAGAAGCTAATAATGCCTCCAGGCCCAGCACTGTCCACACCTTTAACATGGCTGCCAGGAGGTGGCTAGCCTCTCCAGAGCATAATTAGTCACCCTTCCCCAAGAAAATAAATACCAAGGAGGTGTTAGAAAACGATGTCATTACATTTAATTCACCAGTATTGGCTGCACTGGACATGCCCAGTACTGTGTGCTAATCAGCTAACCAGGATCAGAAAGGTGCTAAGGATTAATTTGTCCATTCCACAGCCACTTAGTAAGCACTTAGTCAATGTAGAACATTGGATTAGGTCCAGAGAAGGGTACCTGTCCCATGTCCTCAAGATGCTTGCTCCACAGTAGAGAATCTTAAGAAATATATATAAATCACAATGATTTACAGTATTCTGTGAGATGTACCAAATGGTATAAGCTGGATTTGTTCACTGCTTGCCTTATAAAGGCCTTATTCTTCTTAAGGTTGATTTTGCTAGTTAAAAGGCTAAGAAGTTTTCAAGAGTAGTTGGCAGGGTGGTTTAGTAATCAGTTCTGTGTGAATCCTACCATTTAGAAACCAAGAATGAGGCTGGATGTAGGAAATGGGTAAAAGGAGCTCAACCTCTAAAAAAAAAAAAGAAAAAAGGCAGTGGACTCACTTTGCTGAAAATTATCTTTTTTATTCTTGAGCTAGAAGAGTCACCATGGGTTTTGAAGAGTTCTTACATCAACAGCATAATAACACTGAGTTCCAAAAACATTGGGAGGCTTTGTTATTTTTCCTAATACTTCATCTTTTACCTTTACACTAACAAAATTATATTTCAGTTGTATCCTAAAAAAAAAAGTTGAGGTAATATACCAAAGATTCCGAGTTCCTCATGCAAACAAGACCAAGTTCTTTCCTGCAGCAATATATCATTAACTTGCCAACATCCGGGCTGAGAGGTTTGTGATGTTTTGAATAAAACTTCAAAGGTCAAGGGTAAGCAAGGACCTAGAATTACTATTGCATCTAAAATTATTTTACAGCCTTCAAAAGAACATGGAAAAAATGATTGCAATTCTCAAAATTATATACCGCCTTTGGGGAAAACACATTTTGGAGTCCTTGGAAGTGCACAGGTAATGTAAGAAGAGCCAGGCCATTTTCCACATTATAGTCAGTGCCAGACAGGAGGCATGGAGGCCTGGGCACTGCCTTAGAATCCCAACCTGTTGCCTGAAATTTGCATGTGGGTTTTCATAATTTCCCCCACAAATAGATACCCCTTCTCATTTTTTTCTATTACTTTCTTGGTTCCTAAGCTTGCAGACTTCAGTTGGTTTTTCTTGCTCTTCCTCTTCTCACATTGTTTATTCACTTATTTGACAACTACCTAAATGGCTGCCTGTACCACATTAGGCCCTGTCCTGGGTGTTAGGATTATAATGGCCTCTGCCCTTCCAGAGCTGCAGTCCAGTTGGGATTACTAATAAGTAAACAACCAATTACAATACAGCAGTGTTTCCAAAAGTGTGGGTTTGGTCAAGCTCTACTAAATCAGTCTTTGGCCTGAATCTGGAAGTGTGCATTTAGGAAGCACTAGAGGTTAATATTGTGCCCACCAAAATTTGAAGAGACATTCAGTATAATAGTTTGTGCTAAAGTAGGATGCTCTTGTGCTGCACTGGGTAATAAAGAGACCCATGGGAGAAAAAATTAGCCCTAGTTGAGGGAAGGGACAAAAAATTAGCCCTAGTCGAGGGAAGGGACAGGAGAGATTTTCTGCCGAGTGATGTCTAAATTGAGATCTCAAGTATACATAGGAATTACCCCCATTTAGGGGAAAAGGTAGAGGGTAGGTGCAAAAAGAAGAAATGTCCCAGGAGAGCCATTTCTTACAAAACCCAGAAGTGGAGAGAGTTCTTCAGGGTGGCTGGAATGAGAGGCAGCAGCAGGGAGACATGGGTGTTTGGAGAGGCAGGCAGGAAACAGATTAGGAAGAACCTCATAATGTTATTGTGGAATTTGGACTTTAACTTGACCACAGTGAGGAACTACTGGAGAATTCTTAAGGCCAAGAAGAGAAAATTAAATGAGCAGTATGACTCCCTTTCCCATTACTATGGGTTTGTGCTACCCTTAGAGAGAGCCCATGAGGTTCTGGAACCACCTTTAAGGTAGCGACTTTTTTTCACCATCTGTCCTCAATTTGTTCCTCTCTTCTTTCCACTTCTGCAATATTTCTAATCTCTCCTGTCTGGATTATGATAACATCTTTCAAAGTGGCTGCCTTGTCATTGTGCCCAATCTTGTCTATTAGCTATGCTGTCAAAATGACCTCAGCCATTGATTTAATCATGTTACTCTCCTGCGTAAGAATCTTCCTCTTTTTCTACCTGTGACTAAATTTCTTGTCCTAACACTCAAGGCCTGCCATCATCTTCTTTTCACATCTCTGTCTCCTTAGCACATAGGGTCTTCATGCTTTTTCAACCCTTCAGGCCCAGCATGGAACCATCAGGTACCTCTTGATAAAAACATTTACTCTTGAGTATTAACTCTCAATTATATCACACGTTCAAGTCTATTAGCTTTAATTATAAAGCAAGCAACCTTATTTTTTATCTAAGGAATATCAGGCATCAGCAAAGGAAGAAGGAAAGATTTTATGAAAGCAAAGCTTCTTTCTGACTTCCCAGTCTCATGTGTGGTCTGACAAAGTTGCCCAGTGAAGCACCATCTGAGGCACAGTAATAGGAAACGACACCTTGTGTTTAGCTTTTGTCCTGCCCTTCCCCATCCTCTCCCCTGCGTGATTTTGCATTTCACAACGTCTAGAGGTGGTTGGGTTTTTTTCTTAATGAATTGTCAGATTTTATGTTTTTCCATTGCCTCTTTGTTTCCTGTTTTACATTTATATTTTGGGTAGTTACCAAAAGGTTTTCTTCATCTTGAACACCAGGACCTTATTTGGATTGTTTCATTGCAATATTGGGGACTGGTATGCTGCTCTACTAAATTCTCTCCAACCTTCTGCCTGGCAGAAAGGAACTCAGTATCTGTTCTTGGTGGGAGTGGCAATGTCCCTTCCCCAGCCTCTGGTCCAGTACCCCAGTCTGAGTCCACCCCACTTTAAGGTTATGCTGGCATCCCTCCTCCCCATCCCAACCACTGGAATGGGTGAGGGGCTTATGCAGTTACCTATTCAGCTATCTAAGACTTCTGCCACTTCTCTTGAAAGATTTATAGAAATTGTGTAAGAAATATTTTTTCTTATTTCTAGGTTGAGTTTTCCTTTTCTCAGTTTCAAGTTGGTCACCTAAGAGTCAATCATAAAATTTATGAGTCATAAATTATGTCTTTTGTGGAATAAGTCACAAGGGAGAGAAAAACAACTGAAAAGAGACAGACAGAGGTAGGAGGAGAGAGGCTGAAAAAAAAACGTGTGAGCTCTTTTAAGATCAAAAGAACAACATTTTCATTTAGCTTTAGTGATGCCCAGCATAATGGAATCCTTTCCTTTTTAAAAAACAGCTTTATTGAAATACAATTCACATATCATGCAATTCATACACTTAAAGTGTACAGTTCAATGGTTTTTAGTCTATTCACAGAGTTATGATATCACAATCTAATTTTAGAACATTTTCATACCCCCAGTCCACTCCCATTCACGGCAACCACTAATCTACTTTTGTCTCTAAACATTTTCATACCCCTACTCCACTCCCATTCATGGCAACCACTAATCTACTTTTGTCTCTATAGATTTGCCTATTTTGGACATTTTACATAAATGGAATTATACAGTAGGTTTTTTTTGTGAATGGCTTCTTTCATTTAGCATAATGTTTTCAAGTTCCACCCATGTTGTAGCATGTGTCAATATTCCATTCCTTTTATTGCCAAATAATATTCCATTATATGGATATACCACATTTGCTTATCTACATCAGTTGAATAGATTTGGGCTATTATAAATAATGCTGCTGTGAATATTCATATACAAGTTTTCATGTTCATATGTTTTTAATTCTCCGTGGTATCCTAGGAGCAGAATCACTGAATCACGTGCTAAATCTGTATTTAACATTTAAGGAATTGCTAACATGTTTTCCATAGCAACTGCACCATTTTACATTCCCACTAGCCTTGTGTGAGGCTTCCAGTTTCTCCACATCCTCACCAACAGTTACTATCTGTGTTTTTCATTATAGCCATCCAAGTGGGTTGAAGCAATATCTCATTGTGATTTTAATTTCCATTTCCCTGATGACTAATAGTGTTGAACATCTTTTCATGTGTTTATTGGCCATTTGTAAATCTTTGGAGAAATATATATTCAGATATTTTGCTCATTTTTAATTAGGTTGTCTTTTTTATTATTGAGCTATAATAATGTTTTTCATGTTCTGGATAAAAGTCCCTTATCAAATATATAATTTGCAAATATTTTCTCCCATTCTGTGGTCTGTCTTTTCATTTTCTCAATGGTACTGTTTGCAACACAAAACTTTTTAATCTCACTGAAATCTAACTTGTCTATTTTTTCTTTAGTTGCTTATGCTTTTGGTGTCATATTTTCAGCAAAGTAACACAAGAAGAGAAAACCAAACACTGCATGTTCTCACTCATAAGTGGGAGTTGAACAATGAGAACACGTGGACACAGGGAGGGGAAGATCACACACGGGGCCTGTCGGGGGTTGGGGGCATGGGGGAGGGATAGCATAAGGAGAAATACCTAATGTAAATGACAAGTTGATGGGTGCAGCAAACCAACATGGCACATGTATACCAATGTAATAAACCTGCATGTTGTGCACACGTACCCCAGAACTTAAAGTATAATAATAATAATAATAATAATAATAATAATAAAAGCTGTTGCTCAACCCAAGTTACAAAGATTTACACCTATGTTTTCTTCCAAGAGCTTCATAGTTTTAGCTCTAAAATTTAGATCCATAACCCATTTTGAGTTAACTTTTGTGTATGCTGTGAGGTAGGCATCCAAATTCATTCTTTTGCATGTGGATATACAGATGTCCCAGTACCATTTTGTGAAATTACTATTCTTTCCCCTATCAGATTGTCTTGGCACCTTCTCAAAGATCAATTGACCATAAATGTAAGGGTGTATTTATAGACTCTCAATTATGTTTCATTGATCTATGTGTCTATCCTTATACCAGATCAATTCAAAAGGCATTATACCAGTACTGCACTGTCTTGATTACTGCACTTTGTAGTAAGTTTTGAAATCGGGGAGTGTGAATCCCCCAACTTTGATTGTAGTGTTCTTCTTTCTTATGAGTGTTCGCTATCCTGTGTCCCTTGCATTTCCATATGAATTTTAGAATCAGCTTATTAATTTCTGAAAGAAAAAAAAGCTAGCTGCAATTTTGACATGTATTGAATTGAATCTGTAGGCCAATTTGGGGGATATTGCCATCTTAACAATATTAAGTCTTCCAATTCATGAATATGAGCTGTCTTTCCATTTACGTAGATCTTCTTAAATGACTTTTAACATGTTTCATGGTTTTCAGTGTACAAATTTTGCACTTTTATGATAAATTTAAACCTAAGAATTTTATTCTTTGGATACCATCACAAATGGATTTTTTAACCTCATTTTTAGAATGTTCATTACCACTCTACAGAAATATTCTTAATTTTTGTATATTGATCTTATATCCTGCAATTTTGCTGAACTTATTTCTAATAGGTTTTTAGTTTGTTTGTTTTTAGTAACTTCTTTAGAATTTTCTATATACAACACCATTTTCTATATGCAACTATTTCTAGTGCAACCAGAAATAGTTTTACCTTTTCCTTTATCATCTGGATAGCTTTTACAGTAGTTCCCCCTTATCTGTAGTTTTACTTTCTACAGTTTCAGTTACCCGAAGTCAAGCAAGGAAAAAAATGTTAAATGGAAAATTCCAGAAATAATTCATACATTTTAAATTGCACACCATTCTGAGTATCATGATGAAACTGTTCAGAGTCCTACTCTGTCCCACCTGGGACATGAATCATCCTGTTGCCCAGCATATCCACACTGTATACACTACCCACGTAGTAGCCTTCTCGGTTATCAGATTGGCTGTTGTGGTATCAAAGTGCTTGTGTTCAAGCAGCCCGTATTTTACTTATTAATGGCCCCAAATCACAAGAGTAGTGATGCTGGCAGTTTGGATATGCCAAAGAGAAGCCACAAAGTGCTTCCTTTATGTGGGAATGTCAACATTCTCGACTTAATAAAAGAAAGAAGAAAATGTATGTTGAGGTTGCTAAGATCTATGATAAAAAAAAATCTATCCACATGAAGAAGAAAAAAAATCGTACAAGTTTTGCTGTCACATCTCAAACTGCAAAAGGTATGGCCATAGTGTGCAGTAAGTGCTTATTTAAGATTCAAAAGACATTAAACTTCTGAATGAAAGATATGAATGGGAACATGTTTCAATTGACAGCAACTGGGTTCGGTACAATCCATGCTTTCAAGCATCCACTGGAGGTGTCTTGAGTGTACCCCGGATAAGTGGTGACTACTGTATATCTTTTTCTTGCCTAATTGCCCTAGATAAAACTTCCAGTATAATTTTAAATAGAAGTGATGATCATGGACATCCTGTTCTGTTCCTGATCTTTGGGAAAGGATTTTTGTTGAGAATTGTTCATCTACATTCGAAAGTAGTTTTCTTGTGATAACTTTGTCTGGTTTAGTTTGTAATAACCGTCTAATAGGATAAGTTAGAAAATGCTCCCTTCTCTTCTATTTTTTGAAAGAATTTGTGAAGAATTGGTGCTAACTCTTCTTTAAATGTTTGTTAGAATTCACCAGTGAAGCCATCTGGTCCTAGGCTTTTCTTTGTGTGAAGTTTTTTGATTACTAATTCAATCTCTTTACTTCTTACAGGTTTATTCAAATTTCTATTTCTTCTTGAGGCAGTTCCAAAAACTGTTGTCTTTCAGAGAATTTGTCCATTTCATCTAAATAATCTAATTTGTTGGCCTATGGCTGTTTATAGTATTTCTCTATTATTCTCCTTACTTCTGCAGTGTCAGTAATGATTCCCCGCTTTCATTCCTGATATTAGTAACTTGAGTCTTCAAGTTTTTTTATTTTTTCCTGGCCCATCTGTTTAAAGGTTTATCAATGTTGTGGATCATTTTAAATATCCAACTTTTGGTTTTATTGCTTTTTCTATTGTTTTTCTATTCTCTGTTTTACATATTTCCACTCGAGTCTTTATTTCCTTCCTTCTGCTTACTTTAGGTTTACTTTGCTCTTTCTCATTCTGGTTTCTTAAGGGAGAAGTTAGGTTATTAGCTTGAGATCTGTATCATTTTTAAAAGCATTTATAGGTATAAGTTTTCCCTGAACACTGTGTTGCTGTACCCTGTAAGTTTTGGTATGTTGTATTTTCATTTGCATTTATCTTAAAATATTATGTAATTTCCCTTGAGATTTCTTTGACTCATTGATTACTTGGGACTATGTTTAGTTTCCATATATTTGTGAATTTTCCAAGTTTAATTCTGTTATTAAATTCTAATTAATTCCATTGGAGTCCTTTCATTTCTAAGTATTTTTAAAAGTATCCAATCAAAACTAATCTTGTTGCAATTCCACTCTAAAAGTAAGAACAAACAACTAAAGCCTGTACCCAAATAAGCCTGTACCCAAATTGAACAAAGCAATTTAAGGAATGAACTCTGCAAAGGAGGAAAAATGTAATCAACATCCTGGTGACTTTTTTTTCAGTGAATCTCACCCTTATTTTTAAATTAGAAATAAATATAAAAATACCTTCAAGATTTTCACAGGGAACATTTAATTTATGGAACTTACAAATATAAGCAGTAACAAAGAAATCACAGATTTTTTAGAAAGAGAAATGGTGGAGTGGGGAAGGACTAAAAAATGTGAGTGGTTTATTCAATCTAGTTTTAAGTGATTTCAAATAACAAGACTGTACCACTTCCCTTGGCAGATTTATGGAACTTGGGTAGAAATATTTTCCTGACATTCAGGCTGAGTTTTCCTTTTCTCAATTTCATCGTGTCAGGCATAGCCGTGCCTCTGTGCACCACCCCAAATAGTTCCTCTCCTTATTTAGTTTGAGTTTCAGCCCCTCAAGGACCTGCAGGTGGCTATTATATCTCTGTTTTTTCATTCTTCATCCAAGTCAAACATATTTAGGCCTCTTAATCTGTCCTCTAAAGCCAGCTATTATACTTTTGCATTTCTGTTCTTTGAATTTGGTCCAATACATACATTCATTCTTTCTAATTCATGAAGACCCCAAATTGTGTATGAGTCACTAGGGCTCGCTCTTGATGTCACACAAGCTACTGTCTACCTCTGCACCCCTGGCATTTTACTTGGGGTGTGAAGCCCAAAATAGTACTTAAAATTAAAAAAGAAAAATAAAGACATTTACTTTCCTTTACCAACCACAGGTGGTTTTCAGTCTCACTGCTTTCCAAGTACTGAACCACTGTCCTGTTGGATGTCTGTCATTTGGATTATTTTTTCCCTCTCTCAGTCGGCAGAAATAACCAAGTTCTTTCTCTGGCTCTCTCAACATTCCCAACAGTTCATCTGGTCTGGTGCAACCATTCACGGCTAAGGTCTGCCAAGTTTACAAGTGCACAAGTTTTTTCAGAGTCCTGCTAGTGTATCCTAACTATTTCTGAAACCCTCGGCTAATCTTTACCTTTACATGCCTCCCAATGGCTCTGCAGATTTCCAAGCAAAACCTAAGTCTGATTCTTTTGTATGTTTTCTCAAACCCAGCTAAAAGTATAAGATATTCTTTATCTAATCTTTAGAACAGTATTCTCTATAAGGTTCAGTAGCTCTTAGTACTGTATTACTACTTAGTGCTATATTAGTACTTAGTTCAGTAGCTCTTAATATTAGTACTTACACAAGATACAAGATTCCCACATTCACCCTCTCAACGCTATTAATGGCTGAGCATTTTGCATTCATTTCTACCCACTAACTTTTCTGCATGAGGTATACTGATATCTCATTCATTTGAATTCCACTAATTAAGAATGTAATGTTGCCTGGGCTGAAGTTTATCTTTGCTCCATTGATGAAGATTCAAATAAATACTATGTGGGCAGGGGCGGTACATTTGGCATATATAAAGGAATAATGCTGCCTGAGAACAAATACATGCTTTATTGGATATTTTGTCCATCAAAGTGTTTTCTACATTTATTTATTAAAGCAGGCTTTAATAAATAAAGCGTGCTTTATTTATTAAAACACATTATTTATTTAACATTGTTTATTAAATAAATAAACACATTATTTATTTAAACACAACCTTGAAATAATGTGTTTAAAAATTAATTCAAATTGCATGTGGAATAGAGAAGACTACATTGCTTTTCATATGGGAATTCAGATTTTTGCTACTTCCAGCAGCGCTGGAAAAACTAAGTGTGTCATTCATTTAGGTTCCATCCACAGATGCAAAGCCAAGATTCCAAAATGGAATCCATCTCCTATAAAAATGGTTTGCTTTCATTTAACATTTTACCTTCAACGGTCACTCCTTTGCTCAAAAATAACTCTAGAAATTTTATCATGTGACCTATTTCAGATAATGTATTTGTTAGATTGTGAGCTCACAAGAGCAGAAATTGGATGCACAATGCATTTCATATAGTATGGCCTGAAGAAATGTAAATTAATGTACAGACAAGATTTGAATGCTTAAGACAAAGGAGTAAATAATAGTAAAAATGTCAGGCATTCTGGGTGACCCTTTGAAATGGATAGGATCTTTATTTTTCTTTTTTTATACCAGGAAGAGTTTTTATGTGTTCTCTCAACAGGTCGTGTATCACAAAGTGGTGTGCAGGATTAAATGGAGCCAGACATTGGCTCGGATAACTGGACCTACACAATAAACATTCCCTGGCAAAAAGAGGCAAAGTAGAACCAGCAGCAAGATTAGACATTAAACCTAATGAGTCTAGGACAATTGAATCTAGGCATGCTTAGGTGACATAAATGACAAACCCAGATATACAATTAATATCCTAGAACTGGAAGGGACCTTATTGAGTACTTTGCTCAATCCGTTTATTTTTCAGATCCAGAAATTGAGACCAGGAGAGATTAAGGGACTTTCTCAGGAACATAAAACAAGTGCTAGAGCCAAGACTAAAATACACTTCTCCTGCCCCCCAATCCCTTGTTCCTCCAGCTGTGTCCCAGGTTCATTATTTATATTGCCAGTTGAATTGATGATCTTCCATATAAACTGAAAGACTTGCCACTGACTCTGATTTTTAAAGCTTGAATAGGAAAAACATTTGCTCATATATAACTGAAAAAAAGCCTAAACCTCATGCTTTACATAACATTATTTGGTTCTTCTTTATGCCAGGTGTCATATTTAATTACTCTTCATGGTATCCACTAAGATTTTTGCTTTAAAATAGTCATTATGTTACCACTGGGCAAAAAAAATATGTAAAATAACTTGGCTCCCCTGACTAGGGTGGTAAGTAGGATAACAGGCTGTCTTTGAAAGAATACCACTCAATGAGCCAACTCAACTGTTTATATAGGTGGATGAATACACAAAGCTTCCCGGGTACAGGGCTGTTCTGCTGTGTCTTGGGAAGCCCAGAGGACCTGCAGGGGAACAGTTACTATTGTTCCTGGCCACAGTCTCATTTGGATGCTATATCTGTACAGCAGGCAAAACAAATGGCAGAAAGTAGATTCCAGAAGAGAACAGCAGACCCCAGCTATATAGTTTTTCACATTTATAATGAGCAATAGCAGGTTTTCCCTCTCTTTTCTTAAACCCCAAGGTTTCTGACATTTCCCAGAACTTTGCCAAGGTATTCATGTTGGTGTCAAGTATCCATAACAAATGTTAGAAGCCAGCATCGCAAACCCCAGGAAGAATTATGAGATGCTTTCCCATACCTCAGCACCTCCTCAACACCTTTGTCCTTTCTTCAGGCTTCTGTTTCCTTTAAAAGTATCTTGTGTCCCAGGCATCCTGATAAATCCTCATAGGAGGGATGGTAAATGCGTGATCTGTGTGCCACGACTCCCTGCCTCCTGTGCCTATTGCAGACATTGCCAATCACAATTGTCTCCCCAAGGAATGTGGCCTCACAATTTACCTCAATATGGAACTCCAGACAATTATTCCTCATCAACATACCACACAAATAAAACCTGTTTCCCATCCCTGCCTTAAGATAGCATCACAATCTTTTTTTTTTTAAAGCAGTCTGGAAGGGAAATTCTTGAACCCCAAAAGTCTCCACTGACTCAATGGGCTTGGATAATAGTATGCAAAATAACAAGCAGCAAGGTTGCCATTTTGCCCCTCAAATTATATCATCCTAACAAAGAGGCAGTCTATGCTTGCCAAGATCAAATAGGAATATCTTTGAGAACATTGTACCCTAGGCTTATAGACCCTTCATTTTCACATATATGGTATATACATATATATGTGTGTGTGTGTGTGTGTGTGTGTATATATATGTATATAAAATTTGTTTAAGACAGGGACTTACTCTATCTCCCAGGCTGGAGTGCAGTAGTACTATCACGGCTCACTGCAGCCTTGACCTCTTGGGCTCAAGTGATCCTCCCACTTTAGCCTCCCTAGTAGCTGGAATTACAGGCACATACCACCATGCCCAGCAAATTTTATAGACTCTTTGACAATCAGATTTAACACCTAAGAGCTCTAGGGCTCCACATTCTCCTTGTGTAGTCCCATAACACAGTGGTTCTCAAACTTTGTCAGTCATGAGAATCACCTGGAGGTCTTGATGAAACACAGATTGCTGGGCCCCACCCTCAGAGTTTCTGATTCAGTAGGCCTAGGGTGGAGCCCAAGAATTTGCAGAAATAAGTGATACTGACACCACTTATCTAAAGGCTACATTTTGGGAACCACTGCCATAATCTGTTGCACTGCGGACTCCAGCCTCACCCTTCCTCCTATGCCTGCTCATCTGAAACCACGTTTTCAGGGTCAGAGAGTTGTAAAACAGCAATTCCAATGGTCTCTCTGTCTCTGCTCTGCTCTCCCTGGCCTCTCAGCAGTACTTGGCATTCCATTTTGATACCCACTCCTCTCTCAGTTGCCTGAATGCTGAACCACCCAGAGTTTCCTCCTAAATATATTACTGAGCAAATCTCCCTCCATATCTCCTTATGCCCATAGAAATACAAAATACAAGATTTTTCCCTCAGTTCGTCTCTCTGAATGTCCTTTATCTCACCTATTTCCACAAATGACAGCCCTAATGAATTTAGATTAAACCTGTATCTCCCAAATGTATCTTCATTCCTTTTTCCATCTTTATATTCTTAGTACATAGTACAATGCTTGATGTCTAGTCACCAAATCTCCCATTCAATATGGTGATCCACAAGACAGCAGAATTTACCTTTCTAGTCTTGCCTTACCCCATTCTCTCAACTGAGTTATGTACTCACAGTTGTGCTTCCTATGGTTTTTGCTTCCAAACTTCAGGGTTTCATTCATTCTGTGTCTCCACATGGAAGGCCCTCATGCTTACAGCTCCCTGCTCAAATCCTATACAACCACCAAAATCCAATTATATGCTGCCACTTTTACAGACTCTTCCCTGATTACCCCAAATGGGTGAGCTGTCTCCCTTTCCTGATCTCCTCTGGTAAGAGCTTCTCACATGCAGCCTCTATTACTCTCATATGTTCATACCTTCTTCCTTCTGTGCGGAGATAAGCTCTCTAATTGCAAGGCATATCTTGGTGACCACATAGTCTCCTATTTACCAAAACAATCCTGATTGCACGTATCTTATCCAATTATCCTCATCAGTATGCTCATACTTATCACACCATGTGTTCTCATTTTTGGTTCAAAGTATATGTTTCCCAGAATAAATAACCCATAATTTTTTCTGGAATATTAGCATGCTTCTCTTGGTATAAAAGCCACCCGGAAATATCACAAATCTACCCTTGATAATAGTTCAATGCTTTCCCCATTAATACTAGCTGTTCTCTGTCACAAAGACCTTTTACTACCTTCAGGGAGAGAATGTTTGTCCCCACTCCATCCAGCTAAAGGTGTTAAAGATTTAATCTACACATTTAGCCCCAGTTAGACCTTGAGCCACTTCTAACCCTCCCAGCATGGTGATCTTTCAGCAGCTTCATTCCCACCAGTATGTAGGGCCTGGGATTTGATTTGATGTTGCCAGCATGATATCCAATGTCCCTGAAGGGAACCACTGGGACCCACATGTCTGCTGACTGTAGTCTCCTTGCCAGGACCTGCTGAAATTCTACCCAATTTATATGACTTTGCTTTCTTCCCAACTTCCCAACTTGCACTCTAATTCTTCCTACTCTGAGTCACCTTGTTGACTGGGTGCCTACGGTTGACTTAGTCTTCACCAGGCACCCTTCTGCAGGGGCTTGGACCCTGTCACTATTCCTCCAGGCTTCCAGACAGACCTCCCTTGATGACTGTGCTAGCTTCTAAGTACAAGTATTGCTGCTTTCCAGGGATCTCTACTGTTGACCACCACTCACTAAATTAGAGCCTTCCCACCATTCCCCAGGACTCATTGGATGTAGTGATTTGAGCAGCCTCACAGCCATACCATTTTGGCTAATGATAGGCTCTCTAGGGCCTCACCAAAAGTCTACATGATACCTTCCTTCCAAGAACCCCCAAACCTAAATCCCTGCCGTCGACTCCCTTCTCATGGTATCCCACGGCCCTGGGTCCACTGATCCTTTTGGGTCTTCCTCTGCGTGGAATTGAGGAAGGCCTTGCTGATATTACTATTGGCTATTACATGCTTCTCCCATGGGTTCCACAGCGTGGGCTTAATTATCATTAACTCATCACCTGCATCACCCACCATCTCATGATGAATGAGACACACCATACTAGTCACAAAGGGTGAGGTCTCCTCCAGAGCTTTCTCCTGCACAGTCTCTCATCCTCTAGTCAAGAGGATGACTACTCTCCTCCCAACCATCTCCAGAATAATTGTAAAGATTGGGTTGTGGAAGAGAAATCTTGGTCTCGCCTTCATGGGAGGCCTCAAGGCTTGAGATTTCTTTTCCTGAAACTTTCACCCACTCTTTGGGTACCAAAGATTGAATCCTCACCAATGACCATCAAGAAGCCCCACTGCCTATAGCTAGCATTGGGCCAGATGTCTGACAGGTTGTAGGGAGAGTACTTTTAGTCTTCAGCTCAGACTTCTCATGCTTATACACTGGATTTGGATGATTTTCAGATTCTCCTGAAGGCTACTTAAATAGCTCCTCAAAACAATGGGACCCCTAGCGTGAGTTTAGCACACAGGGAAAACAAAGGCATACTCACACTTACAATCACCAGGAGTGACATTCAAATTCAACAACTGGCAGCCATTCATTAATTTGCCGGCTTGTCAACATTCTCAAAAATATAAAACTTCAGAATTTTTGTGGGAATATACTATTATTGTATCCAGCAAATCCTTTTCCATGGGGTTGCCAACCAAAATAAGCCATTTGCTGACCCAACACTGCTAATAGCATAGTTTTCAACAGAGAACGCTAAGTGTCAACTTTCTCAGCCTTCTACTTCCACCTATTACTTGCAATTGTCCAACTACTCTTTAATTCGACTTACTATAACTCAACAAACATTGATTTGAGGGCTATTGCATGACAGACCCTGCTGTTTCAGATGCTGCAGTAAGCAATAATAGCAGAGGATTTGAGAATGTTTACAACACATTTCCCATACTTCATCTCATTTAATTATCTACACCAAATTATTATACAGCTCAGATAAGTAAAACATTGATAGTCCTGTTTCTTACCTCCTTCCATCCAGCAAGCTATTCTTGATCCCTCTAAAGTCAGCTCTCTACTAAAAAAAAAAAAAAAAGAAATAAGAAAACTCAGTGGCCCAGGGAGTTTCAACAACCAGTTTATCTAACTGTTCTACTTGTTGCAGTACAGGCCACAGAGACCTCTACATTTATTCAGTGACCTCAAAAATAAAAATTAAAGTTTCCTCCAAATAAAAATTCCTTAAATGACTTTCACTAAATTTTCAGGCTAGCTTTAATGCTGGCATAAACTAAATAAACAGAATAGAATTTTGTTTATAAACTCTCCAGATTTGGACTATTAGTCATGAGCAACCCATACAAATAAATTTTCAAACTGACCTTTTCTACCCTTGCCACTTCAGTGTAAGTCATCCATGACTTCTGGTCATCCCACATACTTTGTACTGACAAACCTTTAATTTGCAAATGAAGATGGGATGACTTAATAGGTAATTTTTCATTTAAGAAGTAATATTTTTGTTAAGTGCCTTGTCTGACTAAGTTAGCAACCAAAGTTAAATCCACAGAGTATAAAAAGAGTTTTGTTTACACAAAAAAAAGAAAGAAAGGAAGAAAAATTCTTGTCCACTTCATTCTTTGACAATGCATCAGAATAATAGTGGGCTATAAATAGAAGATGCAAGAATGACTAATTCTGTTTTGACTCTATCTCTTCAATGACAAAGGAAACCCCTCTGTACAAACATATTAAGCTAAATCATAACAGCTGGACTTTAGGAATTTTATCTAGAACATCTACATCAAACAACTAAGGGTGCCAACCTTGAAGATGTACAAATAACTCCCAGTGGAACCCAGTTTTATAACTATCAACTCAAGGGACTTGTGATTTAAAAGAAAGATTTAAATACTGCCTTGCTTTAAAAGAATACTCCCTTGAAATCATCACTGCTAATAAAATACAGGAGAAATTTACCCCAAATTACTTTATCCTGGAAAAATCTGTCTTTTGTGACTGAGAGAGCACACATGCTTCATTTATAGCTAGAATCTTTCTTTCTGAAAGCTTAGTTATCCTTCAGAAATTTGTCAGCTAAATTAAGCCCTTAGCCATATAGAGAGAAGTCTGCTGGCACTGCACTGGGAAGAGAATGAATGAAAGACTGGATTGAATTTTCCATGGAAGCCGACAATTAATATTGTTTTCTTTGGTATATCCCTTTCTGTCCGTTGTTTTTGAGCTCTCCAAGAGAAGAAAAAAGTTAAGAAGCCTGATTCAGTCATTTCCAAATCTCACTTCCAGTTTCCATCTTATTTAAGACATGACTTAACTTTAATGTGTGTAACATAAACAGAATCATAAAAGGGAAAGAATTAGAACAGTCTGGAAGAGTCGGTGTCCAAAGCAGGAAAATGCCACAGCTGATTTGCCCTTTTTATTGTTGTTGGTCTTTTCGTTGTTTACTGCAAGGAGAAATTATCTGTTCCTCTGCTGCCGCTTCCTCACCCTCCATTACAATCACTGGGAATTCCAATTTCACAAAGTTATTACAATACAGCCACAAATAATCCATCTTGCCAAGTCCATCTTCAGGGCCGAAGATAAAGTTGGAGCTGAGTTGCTACACACATCTGGAGAAGGTTCGTTACTTGTAATCGTGAGCTGCTCTGTTAATGCACCCATGAGAAAGGGGCTGACAGGCTGCATATTTCTGCAAACTGTTCCCAGAAAGAACCAATTTCCTGACTTCCATGTGGTGTCAATAATGGAGGCATGAGATGGAGCAGTGCTTATGAAATATTAAATCTGCTTACAGGACCAGCTAGAAGCAAATTCAGACCACCTGTGAGAGGAAGTCTAGCAGTGGGTACGCACACTTTGGCACACACATGGCACATGTGAATGATATGCTCTAATCTATGCATTTGGGCTCATTTGCCACAAAACTTCCTGACAGAAGTAGTGTGTGTGTGTGTGTGTGTGTGTGTGTGTGAGAGAGAGAGAGAGAGAGAGAGATGCAGTAAAACACATTTCTGCACATTTAGAACTGAAACAGTTCAAATCACTGACATTATTAAATTTACTATCATAAGCAGCCAAAGTTCATCTTATTCATCAGGAAAAAAGTGACTGATGTTTCGTGGCATTAGTATTAGATCATTTTGGTTCTTGCCAATAAAAACAAAGCATTAGTGTTTCAATGTTTTAATATCATGATTTAATTCTCTCAATGATATTAGGACCAAGAAGCTCAACCAACGTGAAGACCCCATCAAAATTCTTGAGTCAAAACTATGGTTCTGAAATGAGTTCACCGTCCTGACCTCCCATTTCACAGTATATATTTTATGCTTGTGACTTTCCAAATATGGGCTCTTAACATTGCAAATGTAAAGTTTTATATGACTAACTTGTGTTTCAAGGGTTTGCCTAAGTAAATAGAAAAACATCTGGGCTCTTTTTACTGGCAAAAGCAAGAGATATTTGACCTAAGATCAGATTCTGAGACTTGAACATTAACTTGGTCTTTCCACAGAACGTCTCTAATTTTCCACAACTCTCTGCTGAGAGGGTTCAGCCCAGTACTTTTAGAGAAAGGATGGACAAAGCCTGTGTCCCCCTAAGACATATGTCCCAGTTGGCTTCTTTCACCCCAAAACTTTACCCACTGTTCTAATCCACTCCCACCTAAACAAAAAGGTACTACTATTGCAAGGCTGGAACAACCCTCCAAAGTCAGCGTCTCAGTTAGACTGGGGGCATCTAGCCCAAGATCTCTCCAGATGGGAGGGTGTGTAGGATACTGCTTTAGCTGGGAGTCAGGACTTTCAATCTGTCCCATCAGCTCTTCAAGGGCACCATCTACAATTCTAGTCTGAAATTCCTTTGGTTTAAGATAAGCCCCCTGCCCAGGACTCCCTAGAGTCTGGAACTATAGTAGTCTGCAGAGTGGCATTCTGGGCCTTGACTCCCTTTCTGACTTGGCATTGACCTCTAGAAGCAGAACAGGCCCACCCTCCAGGGACAGAGTGGAGATTACCCAGACTCAAAGACTAGCAGTATGGACACCTGTTCACACACAGCTCTGGACGGCACCATTCCCACTGCATCCCACATGAAGGGCACACCTGCACACACAACTCCAATGAGAGGATGCGGCCTATAGCTGTGCAGCATTGCAGCCACTGGAATCTAGTCTAACCTTTCTTGAAATTTTACACTAAAATTTAAAAGCAATCAACCTAATCCCTGATCTACTTTTGTCCAAGTATTTTATTAAAAATCAACTTTAACATTTTTTAATTGAAAGTTAAATTCTATCTTGGATATAAATAATTATGCTTCTTCATGACATTCTGACAAAAATGTAGTCACATCCAAAGGATAAGAACCAAGGCTAGTTTCAATAGTCATTCTCTTCACAAGTTCGATAAATTCTTAGAATTTTAGACTTTTAGAACAAGATTACATATTAATATGTCTACACGAGCACTTGTACACGAATGTCCATAGCAGCATTATTCATAGTTGCCAAAATGTGGAAACAATTCAAGTGTCCACCAACTGGTGAATGCATAGACAAAGTACAGTATGCCCATACAATGGGCTGCTATTCAACAATAAGAGGAAACACAAGTACTACAGATGACTCTCAAAAAGATTATACTGTGAAAGAAGCCAGACACAAAAGACTTCATGATTCCATTTTTATAAAATGCCCAGAAAAAATGTATAGAAACAGAAAGTAGATTCCTGGCAGCCTGGGGGTTGTGGTGGGAACAAGTTGTGACTACAAATGGACACATCTTGTTGCAGAGATAAAAATGTTCCAAGTGGATTATGATGATGATTTCCCAACTCTGTAAGTTTACTTTAAAAATCACTGAACTGTAGCAAAGATAAGGAATCAACTTAAGTATCCATCACCAGATGGTTGGATAAAGAAAATGTAGTGTATATTCAGCCATAAAAAAAGAACAGAATCACATCTTTTGCAGCATCAAAGATGAAACTGGAAATATTGTCTTAAGTGAAATAAGTCAGTGATATGGTTTGGCTGTGTCCCCACCCAAATCTCAACTTGAATTGTATCTCCCAGAATTCCCACGTTATGGGAGAGAACCAGGGGGAGGTAATAATCATGGGAGCTAGTCTTTCCCATGCTATTCTCGTGATAGTGAATAAGTCTCATGAAAACTGATGGGTTTATCAGGGGTTTCTGTTTTTGCTTTTTCCTCATTTTCTCTTGCTGCTGCCACATAAGAAGTGCCTTTCACCTCCCGCTGGGATTCTGAGGCCTCCCCAGCCACGTGGAACTGTAAGTCCAATTAAACCTTTTTCTTCCCAGTCTTGGGTATATCTTTATCAGCAGCATGAAAATGGACTAATAAAGGAAATCGGTACCAGTAGAGTGGGGCATTGCTGAAACGATACCTGAAAATGTGGAAGAGACTTTGGAACTGGGTAACAGGCAGAGGTTGGAACAGTTTGGAGGGCTCAGAAGACAGAAAAATGTGGGAAAGTTTGGAACTTTCTAGAGATTTGTTGAATGGCTTTGCCCAAAATGATGATAGTGATATGAACAATAAGGTCCAGGCTAAGGTGGTCTCAGATGGAGATGAGGAACTTGTTGGAAACTGGAGCAAAGGTGACCCTTCCATTGTTTTAGCAAAGAGACTGGCAGCATTTTGCCCCTGCCCTAGGGATTTGTGGAACTTTGAAATTGAGAGATATGATTTATGGTATCCAGCAGAAGAAATTTCAAAGCAGCAAAGCATTCAAGAGGTAACTTGGGTGCTGTTAAAGGCATGAGGCTTTATAAGGGAAGCAGGGCGTAAAACTTTGGAAAATTCGCCACCTGACTATACAATAGAAAAGAAAAACCCATTTTCTGAGGATAAATTCAAGCTGGCTGCAGAAATTTGCATAAGTAGCAAGGAGCCTAATGTTAATCCCCAACACCATGGGGAAAATGTCTCCAGGGCATGTCAGAGACCCTCATGGCAGCCCCTCCCATCATAGGCCTGGAGGCCCAAGAGGAAAAAGTGGTTTTGTGGGCAGGCTCAGGGTCCCCATGCTGTGTGTAGCCTAGGGACTCAGTGCCCTGCATCCCTGCCACTCTAGTCATGGCTGAAAGGGGCCAACATACAGCTTGGGCTGTGGCTTCAGAGGGTGGAAGCCCCAGTCCTTGGCAGCTTCCACGTGGTGTTGAGCCTGCAGGTGCACAGAAGTCAAGAATTGAGGTTTGGGAACCTCTGCCTATATTTCAGAAGACATATGGAAATGCCTGGATGCCCATGCAAAAGTTTGCTGCAGGGGCAGGGACTTCATAGAGAACCTCTGCTAGGGAAGTGTAGAAGGGAAATGTGGGTTCTGCATCCCCACACACAGTCCCTATTGGGGCACTGCCTAGTGGAGTTGTGAGAAGAGGGCCACCATCCTCCAGACCCCAGAATGGAAGATCCACCAACAGCTTGCACCATGCTCCTGGAAAAGCCACAGACACTCAATGCCAGCCTGTGAAAGCAGCTGGGAGGGAGGCTGTACCCTGCAAAGCCACAGGGGCAGAGCTGCCCAAGACCATGGGAACCCATCTCTTGCATCAGCGTGACCTGGATGCGAGACCTGGAGTCAAAGGAGATCATTTTTGGAGCTTTGAAATTTGACTTCCCTGCTGGATTTCAGACTTGTATGGGCCCTGTAACCCTTTTGTTTTGGCCAATTTCTCCCATTTAGAATGGCTGTATTTACCCAATACCTGTACCCCCATTGTATCTAGGAAGTAACTAGCTTGTTTTGGATTTTATAGGCTCATAGGCAAACGGGACTTGCCTTGTCTCAGATGAGACTTTGGACTGTGGACTTTTGGGTTAATGCTGAAATGAGTTAAGATTTTGGGGGACTGTTGAAAAGGCATGATTGGTTTTGAAATGTGAGAATTGGAGGGGCCAGGGGCAGAATGATATGGTTTGGCTGTGTCCACACCCAAATCTCAACTTGTATCTCAACTTGAATTGTATCTCTCAGAATTCCCACATGTTGTAGGAGGGACCCAGGGGAAGTAATTGAATCATGGGGGCCAGTCTTTCCTATGCTATTCTCATGATAGTGAATAAGTCTCATGAGATCTGATGGGTTTATCAGAGGTTTCTGCTTTTGCTTCTTCCTCATTTTCTCTTGCCACCACCATGTAAGAAGTGCCTTTCACTTCCCACTGTGATTCTGGGGCCTCCCCAGCCATGTGGAACTGTAAGTCCAATTAAACCTCTTTTTCTTACCAGTCTCAGGTATGTGTTTATCAGCAGTGTGAAAACAGACTAATATAGTCAGACACAGAAAGACAGATACTACATGTTCTCATTCATAAGTAGGAGCTAAAAAATGTGGACACATGAACACAGAGAGTGGTATGATAGATGACAGAGACTTGGAAGGGTGAAAGGGCCAGGGTGTGGATGATGAGAAATTACTGAATGAGTAATGTTCATTATTCAGGATATGCATATCTTTTTCTTTTTTTGAAGTTGCAAGATTTAATAGAGTGAAATAGAGTGAAAACAGAGCTCCCATACAAAGGGAGGGGACCCAAAGGGGGTTGCCGTTGCCGGCTCGAATGCCTGGGTTTATATCCCGATCCTTGCCCCTCCTGCTGTGCTCTCAGGCAATAAATGATTGGCTATTTCTTTACCTCCTGTTTTTGCCTAATTAGCATTTTAGTGAGCTCTGATTGGTTGGGTGTGAGCTAAGTTGCAAGCCCCGTGTTTAAAGGTGGATGCAGTCACCTTCCCAGCTAGGCTTAGGGATTCTTAGTCGGCCTAGGGAATCCAGCTAGTCCTGTCTCTCAGTCCCCCCTCTCAATAGGAAAACCCAAGTGCTGTTGGGGAGGTTGATCGACGACTGCTCTAACTGCTTCCTGCTGAACTGGGGCGTAGTAGGGGTTGTGCGGTTGAGATTTCCTCGGGAGGGGTGCCTTCGATGTCATTAACATCGGAGCATGGGCTAGCAGGCCGGTCTAGGGGTCTGCTGTAGATCTTAAGTTATGGACTGCATCTGGGGCTCCATTTGAAGAACGATTTGTAGTTTTACAGCTTCAATTCTGGAAGATACAAACTTAACAAGGAGGTTAAAGATACAGGGATTTAAATGTATGGCCTGCAGTGCAGAGGATTATTTCTTTGGCACACTTTACAGGCCCTGACTATCTGCTTGATAGTTTTGAAAAGGCCTGGTCCAGTAAATAATAATTTGGCCATCTGATGGGTGCTATCAATGCCTAAGTGGAAGGTTTGGTGAAGGGTTTTAAGTAATTTCTATTGGTTAGCTGCAGGCAAAAGTATTTTTCCTTCTTCGGTGGCTAGCCATCTGGAGGGGAGGAAAGTATGTCCTTGTGAGGTTCCTTATTTTATTTTTCCTGCTGAGTACTGGGGCTTGGTTTCCCAGAGGGGATTACCCTATACTAGGGGTCCTTCTATAAGCATTTTTAATGGAGGGTCCTGCCTTGTGGCTCTTTTGACTTTAATATCCGCTTGGTGGTTTTCTTCTATTTTAAAGCTCCTCAGTCACAGCTTAGTGGCTGGGAGAAGTATCTAGAGACTGGCTGTCATATGACCCCTAGGATAGTGACAGATCTGGAGGACAGTTATCTGGGATAGGAGAGTAAGACTGAGAAGGCCGCGCCAGTGTCCAAGAGACAGTTAACCTCCTGGCCCTCAATGTTCAAGCACATCTGGGGCTCTGTGAGGGTGATGGCATGGGCTGGCACTTGCCCCGGGCACCCTCAGTCCTGCTGCTGGATCATCTGGTTAGTGGCTTCTGACTCAGAGGACCTTCGTCCCCTGGGCCAGTGGGCCTTCCAGTGATTCCTTTGACACAAGGAGCATAGGATATGGATATCTTAAAGCCCTGACATGACCACTACCCGATCTATGCATATAACAAAATTGCACTTGTGCCCCATAAATTTATGCAAATAAAAATAAAAATTATTGAATTGTACACATTGTAGAAAATATTATATAAAAACAATAATGGCAAATACGTATTGAGCTCTGTATCCAGGAGCTAGAATGTTTACATCTATTACTTAATCTTTACAACAATCCTGATGAATAGGTACTATTATTCCTATTTCACAGATGACAAAATTGAAGAGTAATGATTAAGTAATTTTCTTGAAGTCAAACAGCTAGTAAATGGTAGAACGAAGGCTCTAGTCTGAACTTCATGACTCAAGAATTTAATCACCATGCCAGAGCTTCCTTAAAGGTATTCTTCGGCATACTGGTATGCTCTAAATTTGTTACAGGTGTGGCAAAATATAGATCCTCCTTTCAGTCCCTGGAATAATCAGGCAGGACCTAGGGCAGGCAGAACCCCAGGCTAGTCTCTTTAGTCCAAGAGCAGCCTCACCAGTTTACACCAAGTGTCATGTTCATTTTGCATAGGCACCATAACTCAAAGCCCCACCCCAGCTTATAATTATGCTATCTTACACTACAGCTGTTCACTCTCCCCACAAGGGGCTGAAATGATTGACCCAGGATCATATTTGGGGTTTGTGGTAAAGCTGTACTGGCCCCCAGGCTTCCAGGCAAGGGCTTTTTCCACCATGCCATGAGGATTTCTATGTCATGATAGAATGTCTGACTAGATGACATGACAGCAACTGCCCTGAAGTCAAAATAATTTGAGATTTAAACACACACACACACACACACACACACACACCATTTTCAAGAACATAGAGATATAGACTAGAAAGACCCTGGGCTTCATCTTTAACTGCTGTCTCTTCCACACACCTGATTGATAACCACGTTCCAGCCCTCCTATCTTCTAACTATCTTTTGATTCCATCTATTTCTTTCCACCTGCACTGCCATTACCACATTCCTGGTCATGCATCTTCTGCCTGGATTACCTCAATGGTGACATAACTGGTCTCCACGCAGCCATCACTGCCCTCACTACTGATGCTCTATGCTGTAGCCTAAGTGATTTTCCTAAAGTATAGATCCTGTCATGTCACTGCCCTCCTGAAAACATTTCAGTAGGCCAGGCTTAGTGGCTCATGCTAGTAATCCTAATGCTTTCAGAGGCCAAGACGGGTGGATTGCTTGAGCCCAGAAATTTGAAACGAGCCTGGGCAACATGGCGAAACCCCAACTCCACCAAAAAAATATAAAAATTAGCCAGGTGTGGTGGCACACACCCGTAGTCCCAGATACTCGGGAGGCATAGGTGAGAGGATGGCTTAGCTTGGGAGGCAGAGGCTAGAGTGAGCTAAGATAGTGCTACTGCACTCCAGCCTGGGCAACAGAGCCAAACCCTGTCTCAAAAGAACAACAACAACAAAAATAACCTTCCACTGACCACAGAGGGAAGTCCAAACTCCTTATTATAGATGGCTTTCACCTTCACACTCTTCCTATAGCCAGAATATTCTCAGTTCTGCAAACCATGGTGTGCAGACAGTGGGTCTTTGCACATGATGTTCCCACAGCCTTACCTGAGTGATATGGTTTGGCTGTGTCCCCACCCAAATCTCATCTTGAACTGTAGCTCCCATAATTCCCATGTGTTGTGGGAGGGATCCAATGGGAGATAATTGAATCATGGGGGCAGTTCTCCCATCCTGTTCTCATGGTAATGAATAATTCTCATGAGATCTGATGATTTTATTAGGGGAAACCCCTTTCCCTTGGTTCTCTTTCTCTTCTCTTGTCTGCCGCCACATGAGATGTGCCTTTTGCCTTCCGCCATGATTGTGAGGCCTCCCCACCCATGTGGAATTGTGAGTCCATTATACCTCTTTCTTTTGTAAATTGCCCAGTCTCGGGTATGTCTTTATCAGCAGCATGAAAACAGACTAATACACTGAGGTTCACAGGTTTGCCTAAACAAATAGAAAACCATCTGGATTCTGTTTTATGCAAAAGCAGGTTATTTTCCTTCTACCAAAAGATAAAGATGTTGACCCTCCTCTCTGTTCTTCATCTGGCTAACTCCTAACTCATCCTTCAGAGCTCAATTTAGAAGATCCAGAATGCCTCCTCTCTTTTCCTCCCCCAACCCTCAAACGAACCACTCTGTTGTGGACCTTATGTGTCTCCCTACTGTCAGTCTTACCTTCTAGTCTGCAAATCTGGAGAGCAGGTCTCCAGGGCATTTGCTGGTTGCACAGATGTTCAGTGGCCAATGCACAGTACATTGAAAGAGCTCAACACATTTTAAATCAATGAAAGAATAACATAAATAAAAAACATAATAATGCAGAACTGGATTAACCTTTTCTCTCCAATAACAGATTACACCTAAAATCCATTCAGTAGCTTTAGTCCTTTAACTACCCTTTTTGAGGAAAGCAATGAGATGCAAAACACCTAGACAGCTTGTCTACCAAGCTGGCACACCATGAAAACCATCATCCCAGCAGCTCAGCTCCTTGGTAAAAATGAGAGATGAACTGTAATTTTCAACCAGAATACAATTAATTTGGCTAGTTTAATATCTTAACACCTATTGTGTTCATTGGAAAATAGCAAAATGTAAACATTAACCCATCTTGAATACAGCTCTGTAAATAATATGTTTATATATGTATGTATGGGGAAGGACTAGAGAACAGAAAAATAAACACAGTTGATCTGTTGGGATGATAGACATAAAACATAGATGATCGGCTATTTTTATATTATATTAATATTATTTATATTCATACCATTGTGCTAATGAATATTTTTTAATATTAATGTCTAACAAACATTTGTTCTGATGGCAAATCAATAAATACAATAGATAGAGCTGATTACTCTATTTGATTTCCAATACATAATACAGTTTACTTAAGAACTCACAATAATCATAATACAGGCAACATGTACTGACCACTTAGTATATCCAGGCACTGAGCAAAGTGTTATTCTTTCTCCTTTTTACAAAAGAAAAATTCAGTGTAAAGAAGTTGAGTGACTTGCCAGTAAGTTAAAAGCTAGAGTGATGATTTTATGTGTGAACTTGGCTTGGCCATGGTGACCAGTTGTGTGGACAAACACTAGTCTAGATATCTCTGTAAAGGTATTTTTTTATGTGATTAACACTTAAAATTAGTTGACTTTAAGTAAAACAGATTACCATCCATAATGTGGGTGGGCCTCATTTAATCAGTTGAAGGCCTAAACAGCAAAGACTCAGGTTTCCTGAAAAAGCAGTTCTGCCTCCAGACTGATGCAGAGATTCTGCCTGAGTTTCTGGCCTTCAGACTTAACACTGAAATATCCACTCTTACCTGAATCTCTAACCTACTGGCTTACCCTACAGATTTCAAATTCAACAGTGCACATGCTCATTCTCTTTCTCTACTATATATTTATATCTATACATAGTATAGATATTGTACATGTATTCTATGTTATTATATATGTAGTGTATATTATATATCTATTTATGGACTATATAAAGAGATATATATATATATATATATAACCAAAAGGAGATATATATGTATGCGTATATGCGTATATACACACACACATACACACACGGTCATGTATTAACCTCAGGGATATGCTCTAAGACATGCACCTTTATTTATTTGTTATGTGAATATCATAGAGTATACTGACATCAGCCTAGATGGTATAGCCTACTATACGATATAGCCTACTATACGATATATCCTATTACTCCTAGGCTACAAATCTGTTACAGCACTGAATACTGTAGGCAGTTGTAACACAAAGGTAAGTATTTGTGTATCTAAAACATAGAAAAGGTAGAGTAAAAATACTGTATAAAAGATTAAAATGGTACACCTGCATAGGGCACTTAACATGGATGGTGCTTGCAGGACTAGAAATTGTTCTGGGTGAGTGAGTGAGTGGTGACTGAATATAAAAACCTAGACCATTACCGTATGCAACTGTAGACTTTATAAACACTGTATAGTTAGGCTACACTAAACACATTTAATTTTTTTTCTCCTATAAGTAAACCTTAGCTTACTATAACTTTTTTACTTTATAAACATTTTTAAACTTTTTTACTTCTGTAATAACACTTAGCTTAAAACACAAACACACTGTACAGCCATACAAAAATATTTTCTTTATATCCTTGTTCTATAAGCTTTTTATTCATTTTTAATTTTTTCAACTATTTAAACTTTTTTGTTAAAAACTAAGACAGGCACACACATTAGGCCTACACAGGATTAGAATTATCCAAATCACTGTCTTTCACCTCCACATCTCATCCCACTGGAAGGTCTTCAAGGGCAATAAAACACATGGAGCCTGTCATCTTATGTAACAGTGCCTTCTTCTAGAAAACTCCTGAGGACCTGTTTGAGGCTGTTTTATAGTTAACTCTTTTTTTAAGTAGTATACTCTAAAATAACCATAAAAATTATACTATAGTGTATATATAAACCAGTAACATAGTTGTTTATTATCAAGTATTATGTGCTATACATAATTGTATGAGCTATATGTTTATACAACTTTTAGACACAGGTTTGTTTCCACCAGCATCACCACAAACACGTGAGTAATGTGTTGTGCTATGCAGTTATGACAGCTATAAGGTCACTGTGTGATGGGAATTTTTCAGCTCCAACATAATCTTATGGGACCACTGTAATATATGCCACCCATTGTTCATCAAAATGTCATCATGTAGCACATGACTGTGTGTGTGTGATTAGATAGATATAGATAGATTATACAGAGATAAAAAGAGATATAAGATATAGATCCTACCAGCTTTGTGCCTCTGGAGAACACTAATACAGCTAATAAATAGTGTCACTAGGATTTGAATTCTGTAAAGCCACTGCTTGTAACTGTTACCAGAATAAGCTATATTACCAACTTGCATCTAAGAGTTTGTCTACAGAGCAGGCCATTTGGCTGGAGGACAGTTCAGCTGTGCTGGGCACGGGGCAGTTGTGGGCATTGTTGAGCAGCAAAGAGCTCAGCATGACCTCCTTCCCTTTGCCCCCCTCGGCACAACAGTGCTTCCCCGTGGCTTTACCCTGGTTCCCAAACCCTTTCCAGTGCCCTCTTTTACAAGATGGAGACAAAAATGAAACTCTCTGCATTTCACTTCCCAGAGACACAATCTTCCATGGTTTTCTTCTTTTGCCCTCCTGCTAGCTTTGCTTATTTCAATCACAACAGTGAGACAGAACCACCACCTGTGACTCTTGGGAAACAACATGCCATTAAGGAAAAAAAGAGGAAAAAATTAAAGTGCTGCAGGGAAGATTTACATTCTTCTTGCAAAAAAGGATTTCAGAAAAAAAAAAAGTATTGCTGAGTAAAATCACGAAAGTTTCTATCCTTAAAAGAAATGTAAGAACAAGGCTGGTTTTTTTCATGGCTTTCTGGGACATTTTAGGTTTGGCTCACTATAACCGCTCAAAGATGTAGCTGATGCCTTTGCAAGTTTCCGTCCAGCCCCACTGCCCTGTGAGTGCAGCAGGCACCATGGAAGGACGGGAGCATGCACAAGCCTCCATGCCCCTCTCCCAGTCTAAATGGGCCCTGGCAGGCCCAGGCAAGGGCTGTGGGCCTGGGCTGATAGCACTTCCTCCTCCATTTCTGAGCAGCACTCACAGTTTGAAAGTCCTGGCACTTAGCAAGCTTCCTGCTGAGCTGTAAAGTCATTCCAGACAAATCCCTGTGTTTACAGAGATTCCAGAGCAGCAGGGAACATCTCAGAATACCAGTCTGGACGTGGAAATTAGTGTATCTGTGCTAAGCTGCTCTCCACACCTGCCCTGGCCATCTCCCCCGCCTTCCACAACCCCTCCTCTCCTTTCTTCTCTACATCTGCTGTGGTTTCCTTCACACTGAGTCATCCTGGATGTTAATAGTGAAGTCCTTTAAGAATCAAGCTAAGCCAGAGGGAGTGAAGAGGAAAGGAAGCAAATTGGAGAAATAAATAAAAGAGGGAAGAAAGAAGAGAAAGTGGGAAAAAGAAAAGAAGTGTGCATGGGGAGCTCTGATCCAGAGACTTTTCTCAGAGTCTTAAGGAGTCAGAAACGACCTAGTATTAAGAAACTGGTGGTTCCATAAACCATGTAAACAGCTATGGTATATCACCCCATCTTGTTACTGCCTACACCCTTAACGTGAATGCAAACTTTAACCAGAGATAGAGGACTGAATTTAGATTCGAAAGACAGTTTTCAGACCTAACTTCACTACTTTCCAGCTGTTTAACTTCTCTAGGTTTCAGTTTTCTAAATCTTGAAAATGGGAATGAAATACTGCTTTGCGTAATTTCAGGGCTGATATAAAGATAAAATGAGACCATCTGTATGAAATGCCTGTTAGCTATACAAATAAGATACTTTTATTAAATTCAATAAGCGGCAAATGTTTCTTACTATTTGTTCTTTCTGCTTTTCAACCTCTGGAAAATCTTTTGCAGAAGTGCCTTCCAACCACCATAACTGGTTATTTTTGAAGTACATAGGAAAGCTCTAAAATGGAAAGTAAAGCTAAAAATTGCCATCAGGTGGGGTTTCAAAGACAGCATTAAGTGATCCAGAGTCATTCTATAAGCTCTGTTCAGATCCATCAATAGCCCATTTCTTCGGTGTCAGTGTATATGTAACTGGAAAGTGGCAGGTAATCTTTCTAATACCTGTTGTTTACAGAGATCAAGAGAAAATTACACCTCACTTACTATTATATATATCTTAGCCAGTTCTTAATCACAGCTTTTCCTTCTTAGATTCCTCTGTAAGCATATGAGCTGTTCTCAATGAGCTTTAAACCACATTTCAAGTAAATTCTTATGTAACCAGGTAACCCAGGATGAGGCTAGGCTCCCAGGTTTCAGAACCCTTTATGAGAAAAACTGAAAAGAAAGTTGCCAAAGCTGCTGAGATCCCACATGTGCTTTTATTTAAGACCAAATAACCCAGACTTTAGGGAATGTGCTTATGTCAATCAATTATATATTGGACCACACCTCTATGGGTGGGGGTAGGGTTTCCCCCTGAAGAGAATGGCTATTTCCCCCATCAATCATCCTGGGGAAGGGTCAATACTGGGTCAGGAAACAAGGGCTTGGACAAGCAGTCCTAAGGCTGAAGTCAGGGAATAATTTTCTTCTCTCTCTGCATTCAGAATTTTGGTTTGATCAGGACTCTGTGGCAGGGAGCTGCCTGGAGAAGTTCCACTAATAGGGGTTGAGACATCCCAGGCCACAGAAGGGACAGACCAAGAGAGTTCTGAGAGCATCTCAGGAAGATTCTAAGATATTCTAGTATCTCCTCATCAACAGTTATATTTTGCTGAAGGTTACCATTTGGACTTTACTGAACTACATCCCACCCATGATATGACTTGGATGAGCGAGAGGTGTGGCCCTGTCCCAAATGACTGGGACAGTGATGCAGCAGTCGCCATCAGGACCTAGCTGTGCTGCGTGAGGCAGAGATCTCTGGAGGGTCCTCAGAGATGATAATGGCAGCCACCACTACCAGCCGGAACTACCTTCCAGATCACCCAGCACCTAGGCCTGCATGTGACATAAGATTCACCTGAGGATCTCGTTAAATAGCCAGTTCTGACTCGGTAGGTCTAGAGTGGGGTCCAAGAGTCCGAAGTTCTAGCAAGATCCCAGGTGATACTAATGCTGCTTGCTGGTCCTCACACCACACCTATAACGCCCTGAGGTTCAGGTCTAAGAAGGGGCTCCATCGGCCAGCAGAGAGGGCAACCCAGACTTGCGGTAAGACACAAGTAAGCATGCCCAAGCATGACCTGGATTCATATCCAGGGAGGATGACCCCAGGGGAAGACAAGCTAAGGTCCTTATTGATTAGGGAAATACTAACTCTAACTTGCTGTACTTTGTAGAACAAACTTAAGGGTGAGGTGTTTGCAACCCCAAGCTAGCAAACAGTGGACCTACCTACACTTAAATATCCAACCATCTCAGAATCAGAAGAGTGAACACAAAATTTTTTTTTTTTTGAGTGCAGTGGTGTGATCTTGGCTCACTGCAACTTCTGCCTCCCAGGTTTAAGCAATTCTCCTGCCTCAGCCTCCTGAGTAGCTGAGATTACAGGCACGCATCACCACACCCGGCTAATTTTTGTATTTTTAGTAGAAAAGAGGTTTCACCATGTTGGTCAGGCTGGTCTCAAACTCCTGGCCTTGTGATCTGCCCGCCTTGGCTTCCCAAAGTGCTGGGATTATAGGCATGAGCCACCGTGCCTGGCCAATTATCTTTTTAATGCTTTATAGTTACATTGTAGTAAAGTGAAAAAGCACTGAGAACATGAGCAGAGAGCAGTCAGAATGGAAGACTTAGAGGCTTGCTGCTATGTAGACGGCCTTGGAACTTTAGAACCCACTAGCTTCCTGCCCCACTATTTTGTTACCAGTGGCAAATTCACTTCTATACGGGTCTGCAACAACCTCAATTCTTGCCCCCCTCAGAAGAAAGAATTCGACTGAGGAGCATAAGGCAGAAGGAGAGACTGAGGCAAGTTTTAGAGCAGGAGTGAAAGTTTATCCAAAAGTTTTAGCGCCAGAATGAAAGGAAAAAAAGAAAGTACACTCAGAAGAGGGCTAAGTGGGCAACTTGGGAGATCAAGTGCACCGTGTGACCGTTTGACTTGGGGGTTTTATATGTTGGCTTACTCCCAGGGTCTCGCGTTACTTTGCCCCGATTCTTCCCTTGGGGTAGGTTGTCTGCAAGCATGTGCTTGAGCCCACTCACCCAACTCCTGAGATCTTCTCAGGAAGCTGCTGATGACCATTTTCAGGTGTTTTCTATCTATTAGGAGCGTGCCTTTCCCTGGCGCCAGCTGTGACCAATTATTATTTTAGAGAGCCCGTTAACAACCACCTGACCATCATCTGATGGTCACCTGACAGTCCTGATGTGAGGAGTTGGGGGAGCCCTCTCCAGCCTTGCTGATGCCTGACCAGCCACTACTGTGACACTTTAATTCGAAAAATAATCATTGAACATCTACTCTGTCCTAGTCACTGATGAACCAAGCAGCAAGGTATCTGGTCTTGTGGAGCTTCCATTCTGATGGAGGAGACAATGACTAAGTAAAAAATATGTGAGATAACTATGAAGGAAATAAAGAGGGTGATCTGTGATAGAGAATAAGTGGGTGTGGGCAATTCTCTAGAGAGTGATACTCAAAGTGAGACCTGAAGGATAAGAACAAACATTTAAAGGCAGAAGATGCAGCAAGAAAAAAAGGCCTGAGCCAGGGGAACCTGTGATATGTTTGAGGAAGAGAAAAGAGGCCTAGTAGTTGAAGAAGTAGCAACCAGAACAAGCGTGGCCTGGAATCTTTTGAGTTGTGCATGGAAGAGATAATGATGGGGTGGACCAGGGTTTGGCAAACTGTAAAGTACCAGATAAAAAATATTTTAGGCTTTGCAGGCCAATAGGAAAATCAAGGATGTTATGTAGGTACTTCTATAACAGAGAGGAAAAGTTCCACAAATTTTTTACTGATGAAATTCAAAACATAATAATTGGGAATAATTTTTTGTAATACAGGTCTACTAATGAGAAGAATGGAATTCTCTTGGGGAGGGGTAACATTTTACTTCATTGGGGTTCAAAATTAGTGTTAGTTATCAAAATTGGTTGAAATGTTGGTGTTCATCTCTTACTGTTGATCTGTAATGAGATTTTACATACTCCATCTTTGAAAATATATTTCACAAAGATTTTAACAAATACTGATATCTCCCACAAACATATGATTTTCATTGAGCATATTCACCACTCAGGAGGAATTTATGGAATTCTATTAGATTCTTCTCTTGATATCTGCCTTTTGGCATATCCTTGCATTTCAGATTAATTGAAGGTTAGGTGGAAGTTCCTCAACTGTCCATTAAATGGATTTCAAAATATGAAATGTGCACTGCAATGAGGTCCTGAAACACTGTTGGAACTGCAGTTTAAGCTCAGAAAACATATCTGCCACAAATTTGTGTGAAAATAGAGATCCTGCTTCTTATTTTAACTTTTGACAGCATGGAAAATGTATTTGATCTTGCCATTACTTATTGTTGAAACAACACTAGTTCTCATCAAAATGACTTTTCCACGTTAAATTTCAATAGAAGCACTGTCTTATAATGTAATTTTAGATTAAATTTATTAGAAAACATTATCATATCTGCAACAAGGTTTCCAAAGCCATTCAACATTCAATAATAGTGATTCAGGACAAGTCTTCTTGTTCAGGAAAATTTCAATTGCAGTTTGAGAAATTGCAATAAAACTATGCTATTGCTAAGCCATCAAACTGTGGTGTGGTAGGGCAAGTCATGGTATTCAGCATCTATTTCTGACAAAAATTCATGGAACTAATGTCTAGGGTGGTACCCCAAAGCACTCCAATATGTAGTCATCAGATAGAGAAGGAAAGAAGATAGAGAAGTAGAAACCAGCAAAAGATATTCAAGGGGAGCAGCCTTAAGTAGGAAGGAAACCAGAGGAAAGAAGAGTATTAAAAGGAAGTTAAAAGTTGCTGAAAGGTCAGATAAGCTGACCAAAAAAAAAAAAAAAGCATCACTGGTTTGGAGGTGATTGGTAATGACCTTGCAAATGTAGTTTCCATCCTGTAGTAGGAAAGAAACAAGATTGAAGTGAGTCCAACAGAGAGTGGAAAACAGGACAGAAATCTCATCTAAGATGTTTTTCTGTTAAGTGGGCACAGAGAAATGCAGCCACAGATAGAGGAAGTCATGGTAGCAAAGAAGAAAGGTTTTTGTTTAGTTTTGGTGATTTTTTTTTTTTAATCTCCATCCTTCAACAAGAAATCACAAAGCCTTGTACACATACCGGTCTACTGAAAATGTGAAAGTGACCACAGTAAGGCTCAATGGCCAGGCATCCATGAAGTGTGAGATATTCCACATACAAGGCTTTGGCAGACAACTAATTTACCCTAGTATGCATTAAATATTTTAGTTTTTATGCATTTTTGTGTAAGTCTTGCCAAAATATACTAACTGATTCTCTACTTTCTGAATCATATTATGGACAGCAATTATATTCTGGACTACATAGTACAGCGATGTCCTCTCAGGGAGTATAAAAGTGGGTTTGAATATGTGCTACCTCACAAGATGATCCCAGAAAACTAGAGATTTTCAATTAGCTTTGAATCTCTTTAAGATCATCAGCTGTTCCTCGCAGTCATAGATGTGCAAGTTTACCTGGCCCAGTGGATCTCAGTGTGGCTGCAGAGTAGAATTGCCTGCTGGGGGTCAGGGAGAGGTTTTTAAAAATACCAGTGCCAGGCCGGGTGTGGTGGCTCACGCCTGTAATCCCAGCATTTTGGGAGGCCCAGGCAGGTGGATCAGGAGGTCGGGAGATCCAGACCATCCTGGTTAACACGGTGAAACCCCATCTCTACTAAAAATACAAAAAATTAGCCGAGCATGGTGGTGGGCGCCTGTAGTCCCAGCTACTCGGGAGGCTGAGGCAGGAGAATGGCGTGAACCCGGGAAGCGGAGCTTGCAGTGAGCCGAGATTGCACCACTGCACTCCAGCCTGGGCAGCAGAGCGAGACTCCGTCTCAAAAAAAAAAAAAAAAGGCAGTGCCAAGATACCAAAGATTCTGACCCAATCCATGTGAGGTGGGGCCTGAGCATTAGAGGTTTTTTTTTCTTTAGTTTTGGCAGGTGGTTCTAACATGCAACAAGGGTTGAAAATCATTGATAGGACTCTAACTTCATCTTTTAAGATGAGCAAACAGATCCACAGAGGTTGTATAAAATAGAAGCACATAACTTCCAGTAGTCAGTGTACTATGCCTCTTTGAAAGATCCTTGTCCCCAACTTGTATATAGGCCAGGAGATTAATTCATTCACTGGAACATTTGTTGAGCTCTTACTATGTGCTAGAATCCAGTCAAAGCACCTACAGACAAAGGTAAATACGACAGTGGGTTAGTGGTGAGTAGTTCAGAATCCACGGGGTTAAAACTGCAAAAATAAAATTATAGTTAAATGTATGATAATTATTTATACCATGGAGTACAGACTAGGGAATGACTGAAGACTATCTAAAATCAAAGAAAGTAGTTCTGGGCAGGAGCCTGAATACAGAGCATGAGCTTTAGTGGCAACACAATTCCTACTGAAACCACAGAACCATGATAGGCCAGTAAACAGCCTGTAGAGCATCACTGCAACCAGCTGACCCTAAACTAGATTTGCCTACATCAATCCCCTTTTCTTGTGAAATGTTGTGGGTTTAGCTTTTTATAATTATAAGCCCTGACTTTGCCTTTGTTCAAGGAGACCGCCTCCACAGAGGCTGTTCTTCCTTGTCTATACCATCAAATCCTTGGTGCTTTAAATACTCGTCTCTGAGTTGTTATTTAACCTATCTACTTTATATGCTTACGTGTTTCTCACTTCAAAGACTTCACTTGTGTTCAAGTGCAGGACACTTAAGGAGCATTCTTAAGTAATTTCTGGATAAGACAGCTACAGCTATGGAAAGAGAGCTTAACTTAAAATGTAAAGTGCACTTAATGTATGCCAGAAATGTCCTAGGTGCTTTGCATGAAATTTACTTATTCCTTAAGGAACTCTCTGAGCTAGGTACTGTTAATATCATACCCATTTTGCAGAAGAGAAAACTGAGACAAGCAAGATTAAGCAACTAGCACAGAGTCTCGATTGGTAAGGCTTTGAACCCAGGCATCTGATTCCAGAGCCAACATGCTCTGTACTACTCCATACTGAATACTGATAAGAAATGTGCAGATCCTACCAAAAGGCAGAAAGGAAGCTTAACTGAGGGACATAAAAGAGGACCAATTACATTGAAAACCATACTATATTCCTGGAAGGACATGCTCAATACTCAATGTCAATTTTTCTTCCTCTACCAGATTAATTTGTAAATTGAATGAAATTCTGACTAAGATCTCAGAGACTTTTCCAGAACCAAGCAAACATTGTTCTTTTAGATATAAAAGTCAACCCAATGAAAAAATATTCAAAGTGAAGAATAATGAAAGACAATCAGCTCTACTAAATAATGAATTGCACTACAAAGATATCATAACTAAGAAAGAATGATAGCAGTAGAATAGCAGCTATATCAAGGGAAGAAGACACCCAGAAATAAAGCCAAGTAGGTATGTGACATATGATAAATATTACATTTCAAATCTGTGGGAAAACAGATTGTTCTTATCGAATTGTAAATATAATTAGTAAATTATTTGGGATAAGAATTAAGATGGATCCTCACCTTATACCTAATACCAAAAAAAAAAAAAAAAATCCCAGCTGTATTGTAAAAAAAGGAAGCCATAACAAAGCTAGAAAAGAAGTGAGTTTTGAGGAGCCTTGTTTGTTTGCTTGCTTGATTATTCTTAGAATTATGGATTGAAAAAGGTCTTTCAAATCATGATACAGAAGGAGATGATTGGGAGATTTAGATCAGTAGATGCAGATGAACAGATTTCTACAAGTAATATCTTACCAGACGCTATATTTATTTTATTTTATTTATTTTATTTATTTTATGTTATGTTATGTTATGTTATGTTATGTTATGTTATGTTATGTTATTTTATTTTATTTATACAGAGTCTGTTCCTGTTGCCCCAGGCTGGAGTGCAGTGGCATGATCTTGGCTGACTGCAACCTCCACCTCCTGGGTTCAAGTGATTCTCATGTCTCAGCTACCCAAGTAGCTGGGATTACAGGCATACACTACCATGCCCAGCTAATTCTTGTATTTTTGGTAGAGAGGGGAGTTTTGCTATGTCTTGGCCAGGCTGGTCTTAAACTCCTGGCCTCAAGCAATCTGCCTGCCTCAGCCTCCCAAAGTGCTGGGATTACAGGTGAGAGCCACTGCGCCTGGCCCAGATGCCTAATTTAAAAAAGATAAAAGCAGATATGTTTTGATTGACAGTGAATGAACCCTGGAACCCTCCCTGACTGCAGTGCCTGAAATACTTCCACAGAACCCCTGGGGTAGAATGGAATTCTATAAGATTCTTAATTAAAATGCAGATTCCTGGGCCCATCTCATACCTACTGAAGGAGAATCCCTGGAGCTAGGACTTTGAGTTTTAAGCAAACCTCAATAAATACTTATGTACGCTACATTTTGAGGGTCACCATATGGACCTGAGCAATAGGGAGCACAGTTTGAAAGGAGAACAGCAATCACCTAACAATAGATTCAGGAGCAACTGGGTCCTTACACTCCTTCAAAGCCAGCCCAGAACCACCTCTAGGGAGAAGAGCCCCCAGAGGCCGGGAAGCAGATAGTTTGAGATGGAGAATTTAAGCATAACTTGAGAGCACGTCTTGGGAGAGTGAGTAATCAAAAGTGCAGTGAGATGTTATTTAACACCTTGTATTCTAGAAGCTGAGAACAAACTGAAACCGAAAAGCTTGTAATAAGTAATAAAAATTGCCTGAGGTGGCCAAAATATTAGGAACACTAAACCAAGTGGTAGAAGAGCTGACTTAAGTCAGTAACAGAAACACATTATTTGTGTTTAATCACCTTGTATACTTTACAAGATTTGCTTCAAATAAACTATTTTGCAAGTTTTAATCTACTTTTAAGTTTTTTATTTTTATAATTTCAAAAATATTATCCTTTCCTTGTAAAAATTTAAACCACACTGAAATATTTTCAGTAAAAGTCCCCCATGCCCTCAGGGACAACTGTCATGAAGTTTGTGTATTTTTCTGATTATTTTTCTATGCACAAGTCATGTATTTTATTATACTATTACAATTACATAAAAATAGCAACATACTATAAAACTGTTCTATAACTTGATTTTTAACAACACTTTGTGGACATTTGTTCCTCTTAGAATGTAGAAGTTATACCTCATTCTTTTAAACGGCCAAAGAATATTATGCATTTCGCAATTTTGGAGGAGAAGGTGAGGTTAATTTATGCCCACTCAATATTTTAAGAAAACACATAGATGTGTGTTATTCCCAATCATATTCAAGTTTGCATATACTGCCTGTATGCTTTGAATTAATAAGAGATCACTAATTATCTGGTGGAAGCTTCCAGTACTAAAGTCAAAGCACCTAAGGGGAACTTGAAAGCTTTTGGGATATTCAACCTTCCTTTGGATATTGGACATGTTTCTTAATATCTCAGTGATTAGAGAGATTGTATTTTTTCATGGCAAAAACTGAGCAAATAAAAACAATGAAAACAGAAAAACCAAACCACTCAGGATAAATGTTTTCAAAATTTCAGGATGTTTGATCCCACAATGAATAATAACCACCATCATATACTGATCATCTATCAAATGCCAGATGCATTACGTGGGTCACTTCATTTAATCACCATGATAACCCATGAGAATATTCTTATTATCCCTAAAATGTGAAATCTCTTAGTTCTGATACCTTTCCCATTTAACATTCCACATTCTTATAATACTAAAAGGCTCATGGACCCTGCTTTCCCTCATAGGATTTCTGCATAGATAACAGAGGTCTGGAATTTACATCTAGATCTCTTCCGAAGTTGATAAATACATGCAGAATAGAAAGACCATCTTCAACTAAATTAAGGGACAGCTTGCACAGGCCTCTTACAGACCTGCTTATAACTCTCAACACAGATTTTTTTTTTTTTTTTTTTTTTTTTGAGACTGAGTCTCCCTCTGTCTCTTCCCGGCTGGAGTGCAGTGGTGGGATCTCGGTTCACTGCAGCCTCCACCTCCCAGGTTCAAGTGATTCTCCTGTCTCAGCCTCCCAGGTAGCTGGGACTACAGGCATGCACCACCACACCCAGCTAATTTTGTATTTTTAGTAGAGATGAGGTTTCACCATGTTAGCCAGGCTGGTCTTGAACTCCTGACCTCAGGTGATCCACCCACCTCGCCCTCCGAAAGTGCTGGGATTACAGGCATAAGCCACCGCGCCCGGCCTCAACACAGACTTTTTAATAAATAGTTTTCTCTATAGCACAATGGAATTTGATTTCTGAACAACAGGAATGCCTTTCTGTGGGAACTGCACACATCATTAGAAGTGCCCACCTTCCTCTTTTAAGCTAGTACTGCCCTTCATTTTGCCTGAGCTCAGGAAAATGGCAGACGGGGGTCCCCTACCAAGTGATCACTGACCCAAGGGCTATTCATCCCTGAGGGAGTTAGCGTTTTCTGACCTAGCCTGGGACACAAAGATGAGCCAATTTTCCTCTCAAGATTTTGAACTTATTTGAATATGGAAAGATTGAAGCTATTAGTAGGAGGAGATGAAGCAAAATGTTTATGAGTAATAGAGAGCCTAGAGGGACCAGTAGGGCCCTGAAAACCCCTGATAATGTAGCACAATGAAGGAAAGGGCTTCAGCATAAAGGAGAAATCCAAAGTCTCAAAAGCAGCTTGGGACCTGGGCTCCTATCAATGTCCTGACCACCGGGCTGCAGGCTGAGGGGTCCTGGGCCCCAGCAGAGTGACTTCTGTGAGGCACCAAAAGCAGGAGACACCAGTTCAAATGAGCACTAGGCAGAACTCTTGCTTTAGTCAGCATCACGCTACCCAATTATTTGAGCTCAATAAGAGTCACAAATAAATCTCTGTGTAGTATGAGGATGCTCATTACTTCCTAATCTGGATTTACATAGCTATTTGAACTAGCTACACACAACTATTTAATCAATGTGCATTGATACTTCTACTAAAGCTAGTCAGTAAATAAAATTATAGGCTATGAAAGTTTTAGCCAAAGGTCATCTACCTGTAAATATTTTACATAAATGCCCAGTGATTCTTTGGCCAAGAAAATAGGGTCACCTAATGTACCTACAACATGTGTACAATATAACCTCCTAATTGAAATACATCTGAATGTCTATGAGGAGTTTTAGATTTCAAACCCCATTTAAAAATATATCTACTAAAAGCAAGTGATAGGGTTCTATCTATCTTTGCTCTTACTCTCTTGGATACTCACAAATCTGTTGGGCCTTAGATCTTTATTGCTGGGAACATAAGGAGTGCCTTTTGAGTTCTCATAAGGAGCTGTTAGCTTTGCAACTAGAAGAAGAAAAAGTTCCATAGCATCTACTATGCCCCTAGTCCTAGAAATTTCATTTAGTTATTCAAAAGACATAAGTTGAGGTTCTACTCTGTGCTTCCTTTATGGAGCAAGGTGACATATAAGAGCAGATGTGAGTTTTATAAGCTATCCTAGGTTTTCAAAACACCTACATGAAATATATTCCACCCCAAAGGTATACTACAATCTCTATAAGAGAGAGGCCTGAGTGTGTGCATTTTCATAACAATTTTCTAGAGGATTCTGATGTTCTTACTCTCTTTCCCAGCCCCACTCTCCCTTGCTAGTTAGAGCTATGATGCAGACAATAGGGATTCAATCATAAAATTATGTGGTTTATCTTGAGAATGGAAAATAAAAAACATGGTTAACGAAACATCGTTAAAAATAATACATCTTTTTATAGTCTTTATCATGCTCATTTTGGTATGCTAAGGATATGCATAGTTTAGGTATGTTAAAGTGAACTAAGTATGGCCTGAGAAGGACTCTGTACTTCTATATTTGAGTCCTTGTGGACTAACTGCAACCTATATTGAAAACCTAACTAGGAGTATGCACCTGTAATAATACCTGAGTCTTGGCCAATCCCAGCGGTCGTACTTCAACCATTCATACACTGCTGAGTGTTCAAACTGTGTTCAAATAAGGCAAAAGCCAACCTGTAACCAATCCAGCTGTTCTGTACCTCACTTCTGATTTCTATATGTCATTTCCAGTTTTTTGTCTATAAATCTTCTTCCACCACGTGGCTGTGCTAGAGTCGCTGCCAATCTGCCATAATTCTGGGGGCTGCCCGATTTGCGAATCATTCATTGCTCAATTAAACTCCTTTAAATTTAATTCAGTTGAAGTTTTTCTTTTATCAAGTACTAATTTGGCTGCTGCAAAAGAGAGTTCCAAAATATAGTAACATAGAAAAAAGTTTTGTCTCTCACATAAAAGTCCTGAAGAGTGGGCCGGGTGCGGTGGCTCACACCAGTAATCCCAGCACTTTGGGAGGCCGAGGCGGGCTGATCATGAGGTCAGGGGATCGAGACCATCCTGGCTAACATGGTGAAACCCCGTCTCTACTAAAAATACAAAAAATTAGCCGGGCATGGTGGCATGAGCCTGTAGTCCCAGCTACTCAGTAGGCTGAGGCAGGAGAATCGCTTGAACCCAGGAAGCAGAGGTTACAGTGAGCCGAGATCGCACCACTACACTCCAGTCTGGGCGACAAAGCGAGACTCTGTCTCAAAAAAAAAAAAAAAAAAATCCTGAAAAGTGGCCGAGGTTTGTTGGCTGACCCCATAATTATCACAGACCTACGTTCCTCCCATTTTGCTACTTTGACATCCTCTGCATGAGGCTTTCATGGTGACTGCTCTAGTCTCTCCCATTACCTCTGCAGTCCAGCCAGTGGCAAGGGGCCCAGGGGAGGAGAGGACATGGTCCTTTTCCATAAGAACCCAACCCAGAAGTTGGATTGAGCCACCCATCACAACCATTTACCTCCCTGGTCAGAGCATGGTCATGTTATCAAGCCTAACTAACATACAGGCAGCATATGTCCCATTAGAATTTGTATTATTGGGATAAAATGGGAGAGGAGAGACACTGGATACAATTAGCAATTTGTGTCACACATTACTAATAGAAGTCTGTAAGTGAATTGAAGTCTGCCTCAGTTTTAACAAGGAGCAAAAGAGTGCAACACTCAGTCTGCTCCTTAGGATTGTTTTTGATATGAACTGTCCTAGTTTGAGTACCTTGGGAAACAGACTCTGAGGTGGAGATTTGTGTGCAGAAGGTTTGTTGGGAAGTGTTTCTCAGGAATAGCGCCTGTGAGGGAACAAAGCTGGACTGGGCAGGGGGAGGAGTTGAAGTGTGGTGCAGTCCCAGAGGCCTCTGCTGATCCCATGGAGAGCTCTGGAGCTAGGATGGCCTTTTTTGTGATGGCCCTAAATTGAAGCAAGGCACCAGATCTTTGTACCCCCCTGCATTAACCTGTTAGAGTATCCAGACTGCCCTTGAGGAGGAGGTTTAATCCTGGGTATGGTGGCTACCTTAGGACAGCATTTCTCAACCTCAGCACTTTTGACATTCTGGAATGGATAATTATTGTAGGATACTATGCATTGCAGGATTTTAGGAGCATGCCTGAGCTCTACTCACTCGATGTTAGTAGCATGGGCACCCCCCTCAGCTGTAACAACCAAAAATGACCCTAGACATTGCCAAATATCCACTGTGGGGCAAAATCACCACCACTAGCAATCAGTGCCTTAGGCCAAGGGCAGTGCTTACAGATAAATTCAGCTGTAAACCATCACAGCCCATCTTCCCAACAGTTGGGAGAGTAAGTGCCTCCGTCCTAAAAGGGGCATCTAGGACCGTGACTACAAGATCACACAATTAAGGACAACGCTGGAGCTTCTGCCTCCCCATCCGGTGCTCTTTTCTCAGGAAAGTTATTTATAATTTACACAGTTCAAAAGAAAGAATAACTGATCTGGCCAGATAATCCTATAAGCTTAAGAAGGAGCCTGAGGAAAAGTCCCAGAGACTCTGAACTACGATTAAAAACTCATCAGCCAAGAGGAAATTCAAAGACAGCACAAGGACCTGGGTTTCCAGAATAGATGCACGAAAAGAGAATGGGGAATAAGAGAAGACCTGTTAGCATTCAGCTGCATTCCTGTGGATTAGAAAGCTCCAGTGCTGACGCTTCATTACATTCTTCTTGCCAGTCCTTTTCTGAAAGTAGTGCTCTTCTAGGCCCATAGGTAGCCTAACCTTTCACCCACATCTCAGACAAAGCTCTGCAGCCCCATCATTCACTTCCCTCCACTCCCTCCACCTTGCTTCACAACCAGCCCTTCCGGCCTCTTTGGACCTACTCGGTGCCTGCCTTCAGTTTCTCAGGCCCCCTGAGCAATCCTGTTTCCTGGAGGCTCTCAGGGCCTGAAGCCACATTCCTCCAGGCAATCTTGGGATAAGAGACCACATAATTGGGAGGAGGGGGATGAGAACATGGAGGTTCGTGCTTTCCTTCCTTTGCCTGAGAAGCAGCTGGTCTCCTATCGCTAACTAGATATTGAATGGACCAGCCTGACATTAAAAACCATGATGAGATCAAAATGACCACAGCAGGACTTTTTTTTTTTTAATTCAGAGCAAAAATACATGAGAGAGGGGAGAAAAAAAGAAGAAAACTGGTTAGAGTGAAACATTCCCCAAGAGTCACCTTGTTGGCTTTTTTCCAAGAATGAGGAAGGGGTGGTCAAGGCTACATGTTTAATGATCTGTCCCATCCAAGGATCCTGCTGCTTCTCAGGAACTTGGAGGCCAGATGCTACATCTTAGACATGGACCTATTCCTTCCAAACCCTGTCGCCAACTGGTTCCTTCAAACCACTGTGTCTAGGCCAAATTCGGTATCAGCAGACACTGGTGAAAATACGACTAGACAATTCACAAGCAAGAAGGCTATGTTGCTCTTTGTTAATTATACACACCCTCCTTCAGACATTTTCTTTAATATGCCATTTATACTATAGCTAAATTCGACTGAGCACTTAGTGTGTATCTCCTCTAAGGCTATGACCTTGACATGTGTTATCTTTTCAATCACATAAACCAAAAGTCTCACCCCCACCCCCGTTTTACAGATGAGGAAACTGAGGCACAGAGTCCAAGGTCACTTCCCAGAGGATGATGGCCATGGAGCCCAAACCCAGGAAATGTGGCTCCAGAGCCCTCTTGTCACCGTGAGGTCCACCCCCCTTGGTGCCCCTCCTCCTGGCCACACTTCTCTCCTACTGAGGAGAATGGAGGTGAACAGGGTAGTTCACCTTTGTGAGGGCACAAGCATAAAAACTAGCCTTAACCTCCCAGCAAGGGTCAGACACAAAAACTAACCACAGGAACACTTTCTTGCCAATCAAATCTTGCCAAACACCAAGCAATTTTGTGCATCAGACTCCGAGGGCAACAAGCCAGGTGAGATAATCTACAAAATTTGCTTTTAAAACGGCTGGAGAGGAAGCCGAAGGGGTCTGCTCTCCCTGAATATCCCACAGGGTGATCCAGCGCATGCGAATTTTCCCAATTTGAATGATTCTTTTTGAAATAGAAATGTAAAACTACCTTCAGTTTGCTCTTTTGCCAGGCCAAAATTACTTCCTTTCTATAAACACTCTAAAAATATTGACTGCCCCATAACCAAGTTAGTATTTGCTTTAATTTATGGTATTCCAAGTTGAGAGAGTACTGAAGTCAGAGTCAGAAAATCCAACTTTGACAAATGCTGGCAGTTTGGACCTGAGCTACGCATTTCCCTTCACTGGGCCTTAGCACTTTCATCCATAAGTGGCGACGATGCCGTGTGCAAAATGAAAAGCCACATGGCGCAGTAGTGGCGAGCTCAGGCTCAGCAGTCAGCCTCATGCTTGGTTCCTGACTTTATCCCTTCCTAGAGTGTGACACTAAACTTGTTATTTAACATCCCTGAGTCTCGATTTTCTCATTTTAAACTAGGGATAATTATAGTGCCAATCTGGGGGGTTGTCATAATTAAAGAAGATGTACATGTAAAGCTCTTAACTCAGAGCCCAGAACATGGCACACAGGCAACTTCCATTGAATTATAAAGGTCTATGGAAATCAAAGTTATATTCTGCCTGTTAGTTTTCCCTCTCAAATGCTACCACTCGATATCACCTTGCTTTTCTTTGAAATAATTAAATATTTAAATGCTAGTTTTCCAAGAAAAAAAATTAGTTTACTTTTGCTGAAATTTCTAAAATGTGCCTTATATCCATCTGAAAAAGAGCTCTTTCTAACTTGTGTCTTTCACAACCAAATTTTCTGTTGGAAAGGAAACCAAAATAAACCTTTATAATTTTAATGGCTCAAGGTAATTTTCCTTATTAGTGAGGGTAGTTCTAGCTGCTGTAAGAGGTAAACCCAGAAATCTCAGTGACTTCGTATGTTTTCTTTATGTGAACTTCTTTTTTTTTTTTTTTTTTTTTGAGACATAGTCTCACTCTGTCACCCAGGCTAGAATGCAGTGGCATTATCTTGACTCACTGCAATCTCCACCTCCCTGGTTCAAGCAATTCTTATGCCTCAGCCTCCCAAGTACCTGCGATTACAGGCATGTACCACCACACTTGGCTAATTTTTGTATTTTTAGCAGAGACGGGGTTTCACCATGTTGGCCAGGCTGGTTTCAAACTCCTGACCTCAGGTGATCTGCCCACCTCAGCCTCCCAAAGTGCTGGGATTACAGGCATGAGCCACCGTGCCCAACCTATGTGAGCTTATTTTATGTATGAAACAAAACAGATGTTCCTATTCAGTGTGCATGACTGTGTGTGAAGTAGGAGGGAGTAGGCACAAAGGCTTTTTACCACATTAACTCAAAAGTGACATGTTACTTCCATTCATGTTCCACTCATTGGACATATGGCCCCACTCCAGTGCAAGAGGGGTCTAGGAAATGTAGCTGGCCCCAGGCTGAGAAGCCACTCCTAGCACCTGTGGACAGCTACCCATCCCTGCCTCACCCTCTGAATAGAAGTTACGGTCATGTATTCAGATGTTTCATTTATTTGCCGTCTGTCAGATAGCTTTTCTAAACAAATAAGTAGTAGTCCTAGAGTTCAACTCTCCCAAATAAGATAACCTTGAACCCGAACAATTTGAGATCTCAAGTTGAATCTCACTGCTCATTTCACTGTCTTCCTGTGCTAATCCATGGAGAAAAGACCCTGTGTAAATTCAAAGTTTGTCATTAATTACTATTCAACATGTCTACATCCTAATAACTTCATGTCTTATTTAAGAAAAACACATAAAACACTGGGAATGGTGTCAGGTGGGTAATAAACGCTCAATATCAAGTAGTTATTATATGTCCTGTAGTCCCAGGTGAAAATATGAAGTGAAAGAGGCTATAGGAGAGTGAAGAGTAGGAGCCGATGGAACCATAACCCTCTGAGACCACATTGTTTCAAATGCCTAACCCTCCTGTGGAGTGACTCACTCTTCCCGACTTGGCATGACCCTCCCAGCTGTGATCTAGATCGCACACCCCATCCCTTCTTCACTGACATGGTCAGAGACACACAGAAGCCCTACGCTCTACTCTTCCCTCTGTACAACAGTGCTATGGGTTTTGCTGGCAGATAGTAAAATTTAGAAATGTTCATATATTCTGTATTTTTCTAGTGGGCTATATAATAAATTCTTAACTTATTCCCTCTGCCTCATAAGCTTTTCCAAGGGAAAATTTGGTTGATTTTTTTTCCTTTTATGTCTTAGTACATGACTACATGGAACAGCCTTTGGGGTACAAATCATTATTTTTCTTGTTGCCATGGTGTTTATCATTTCTTCACAAACACTCTGAACAACAACATCCAGGAAAACTACATTTTGTCCCCTCCCTCTTAAAGCCTTTACCGTATTTCTTTATCCACTATTTCTTTCATTCAAGATGATTCAACCATTAAAATTAAAACCTTTAAGGAAAATATCAAAGGGGGATAATAGCTCATATTCAGTGAAACTAGATTGGTAAGGGGGCTCAGAGTTGCCAAGAAACAAACATAACAGGAAGTTAACTTATTTACCACTTTTATTTATTCTCAGAAGTGGAATTTAAGTTTCAGGTGATTCATCTACTAAGACCTCTCCCAACAACAGTGCCTACTTTCTTAAGAGATTAAACCTATATTATTTTATTGGTTAATTCAAGAACAAATCCCTAAGATGTCAATCCAGAACAATTTTTCCCTTCAATTTGTTTTACATCTTCCATTTAGATTTGGACTGCTGATTTGATGGGGCAGGAGAACTGAGTTTTCTTCATTTCAGGGCCTATTCACCTCTCTCATTGCTTTTTACTATAGTTAGGCATTCCCAATGTGCTAGGGACTTTCTGGGTCATTTGTGACAAAATTCCTTCTCTCTGTGACCTTGAAAATAATAAGGAAATGTCCATAGAGTTTGTCTAGACACTCATGGTAAGGATAGCATTCTTTAGAAATCACCACAGGACACGAACAGAAGCTACAGGATCCAAGGAAGTCCCAGTCCCTGGACAGACGGTTTCAGATGTTGCACATGGAAACTGCCATTGTAAGAACAAGCAGAAATGTAACCAAGATAGTCATCCATATTAGGAAAAGTTCCCTGGTATGTAAAACTGATATTTTAGTCATCTTAAGATGTCAAATTCACCTCGAAAACTGTAAGGCAATATAAAACAAAACACCCACCAGCACCATAGGAATACGCCGCATACTGTTAGAATTATATCAGCTCATTTGGATGTCAAGAACTACACATCATTGTCACAGAGAACTGCAAGAAATTTTCTTAAATTGGAAAAAGATACAGAATCCTCATTACCACAGGTACCACAACAATCTGCAAATTGAGGGCTATGTTTGCCAGACATGCATTCCCTGAAAGAATGATCTCTTTGACAATGGATCATTCTCTCCTAAGCAATTTGCTGAATCGACTAAAACCTGGCCAAAAGAATTCTAACTGGTGCCTCCACAGAACAACATGGCGTCCATATGGCACTCACGAACCCAAGGCAGGGCCTAGAATATGGGGCTGTTTAGCAATGTGTTGGGGTCCAAATGTATACACTATGATTAAAATGTACTTTTATTTTCTGTTATCAGTCTCAAGCTGTTTTCTGCAATTTCATTCCCTGATTCCTTGGGAAGGGAGATGGAGTAGTGGTGGTGGTGGAGGAAAGGAGATGGCAAAGAAAGATTTTCAAATCACCCATTAATGATAACTTAATCTCTCACTTAAAAGAATCTCTGGTCAACTGAATCTCATGGTTCAATAGCTTTTCAAAGCCTAAACTCCTAACAGAGTGGATTCTTCATGCCTTAGGAGGACTGCCCTCTCCTTGTCCCAACCACATGAAGATGATATCTTGGTGCAGAGCTAAGCTTAAATATCCTCACATAATGGATAAAAGAACCCCGATATACAGGTTGTTCTCTGCTCAAGGTTTCTTAGCCAGAATATTTCTGGGCCTTGGTCTCTGTCGACACTCTTGTCACTGTGCAGGTCACCTCAGCTGCCATGATAGGAGGCCTGTACTCTCAGCATGGGTGGGCAATGAATGGCAATTGCTTCTAGGGGGCTCATAGGCCCCCTCTCAGCTCTCCCTGGTGCCATGGCCCCTCTGAGTTATGGCTGCCACTCCCACTCAGTCCCCACCCTGGGAAGACCACTTATGAAGTCCCTTCTTTCTTTGTGTCAGTCATCTGGTTGGCAAGGTTACCAGCAAGCACTTTCAGCCACTTCCCACATGCATCATGGAGGAGGCCAGGACACAGTGAGAGCATCTGCATTCCTTAGGTGACATGCATAAGCATTAGAGAACAAGGGGCTCCATCTCAGGCCTCTTTCTGCCTGAGCATTTCACGCTGCCGTTACCACCCTACTGCACTTCCATATGAAGATGCAAGGAGAACCCTGAATGCAGTCTCCTCATAGTTATCAATGGGAATCAGGGGATGGGTAGCCTCTGCTTCTAGCTATCCCCTCAACTATCTGATGTATCTGCTTTCTTTCCAACACCACCTGGCCCCTACACACACAGGCCTAGATATAAGGCAACATCTTCACCCCATTCTTGATCCTGTTTCTTCTCCTCCTTCCTCCTATAGAAGAAAGCTTTCCACTTCTTCCTGCTTGGTAGACACATCTCTTACATGATATCAACTGTCTCCTCTACACTTTGACACATAGTCCACCAAGCTGGGCCCTTAATATTTTAAGGGGGTATCTGGAATTTTTAAAAAACACTTGGCTGTCTTGATCAAACCAAGATTTAAAGATGTGTGGTACTGCTGTGAATGCAAACCTTCTTATATTGGAAGTCAATGGTTGAATACGGACTTGTTTTTCCTCTTTCCATTACTGCTTCAGCGATCTGAATTTTCCCCAAGGTAATGGATGCCTTTGGTTGAACAGGGGTAAGATTGAACACAAATAAAGTGAAAAAGAAAAACTCTTTAAAATATTGTAAAAACCAACACCCTTTCTTCTCTTCCCATCCTTTCTTCCAATTCTTTCTTTCATTGAAGAAAGAATGCAAATATGTCAGCATCCAAGGAAGAGGCAGTGAGGAGTGCAGCAGCTTACCCAGGAGCCAGGGAGCAAAACAGTGAGCAAGAGAGGGCAGAAGGAGGAGAATGAAGTATGTGGAGACGGGTAACACTAAGCAGATTAGGTAATTCATTGATCAAATAAATGAATATATTGAGGGTATTATGAACCAGGTTTCTTACTGTCTGAGGAAGAATTTTGAAATGTGAAAAAGGTAAAGGCTAAAATGAACCCTGGAGTGTAAGATTGAAATTATAGGTGTGAACTCATGAATTTTTATAGATGGGTAGACAAACAGATACTCACGAATTTTTATTGATAGGTAGATACAATAACAGATTGATAGATGGAGAAACTGTCATAGATGTGTGTGAGGGATGGCTTTTTCTGATGGATCAGTTTGGCTAAGCTAAACTACAGTCCCCAGAAGTCCCTTTCTACTATGTTTCTGATTAGGGTGGGCTACAAGGGCTATTCTCTCGTGAGAACTGAAGGACAGAAAGGAAGCAGAGTCGTGTTGAAGCATATACATACCTTTTCCCAGTTATTCAAACACTAATCTAAGTGCTAAGTGCTGCTGTGAAGGAATTTTGCAGACGTGATTAAAGTCCTTAATCAGTCGGCTTTAGTCAAATGGGAGATTCTACTTGTTGGGCCTGACTTAACCAGCTGAAAGGTGTCTAAAAGCAGGCTTAGTATATCACTAAGTGAAAGAAACCCATCTGAAAAGGCTACATAGTCTATGATTACGACTGTATGACATTCTGAAAAAGGGAAAACTATGGAGACACTGAAAGGATCAGTGGTTGCCCAGGATTGAGAGGGAGAGAGGCATAAATAGAACACAGAGGATTTTAAGACAGTGAAACTGTTCTGTATGATACTACAATGATGGATATGTGTCATTATACATTTGCGCAAACCCATAGAATGTACAACACCAAGATTGAACCCTAATATAAACTATGGTATTTGGGTGACAAAGATGTGTCAATGTACATTTATCAACTGCAACAAATGTAGCACTCTGGTGCAGGATGTCAATAGCGAGAAAGTTTGTGCATATATGGAGATGGAGACATATGGGAATCACAGTACTTTCCTCTCAGTTTTGCTGTGAACCTAAAACTGCTCTAAAAAATAATGTCTCTTAATTTAAAAAAAAAAAAAGAGGGCCTAAGCCTACCCTGATCAAACAGCATTGTTCTGCAATTCCTCTCCCTTTCCCCCGATCTTCCTTCCTGACGGCTCTCTGTGTGGACAAAAGGCTTCAGTTTGTGCCCACAGGTGTCCAGTTCCCAACAATTGCATAAGCCAATTCCCTGTGTGTGTGTGTGTGTGTGTGTGTGTGTGTGTGTAATATACTGCTTCAGCTTCTCTGTTCAACTCTAATAGAATATATGTTTGTGTGTGAGTATATATTTGTATGTATGTGTATGTATGTCTACACAGAGAGCTTGTCCTATCCACTGAGAGTGTCTAGGAGCAGTAACACCCCAATAGTAATAAGCACATCTAGCATCCCATCCAGACCTATGTTTTTAAATACCATCTTCCACTGCTAGGAACAAGGACTTCTGGAGAAATGGCTGCTTACAGGCTCGGGGCAGGGAAAGTATAAGGTAAGCCTAGAATGTGTTGTTATGCTAGGAAGTAGGAAATGCTTAAGGAATGATAGGGACCTGTCAAAGGGACACAGAAGCCAGGTTTAGGGAGTTCACACTGGCCAAATCTAGGACAATTTGTGCATCAAAATAAATTAGCATGTCTAATTATAATTCATGAAGCAAAATAGAAAACCATAACATTGCACTGATAGAAATAAATGAGTAAATAAAGAAATGAGGTAGAAAGGAAACCATTTATTTACAGTATAATGCCAATTAATCAATGTAGATCAAATGATGGGAATAGATAATCTCCATCTGGCACCATTTGGTAGTTGATATAGACAGGAGTCACCAATGGAAGCTGGACACAGATTTGCATAGAGACAGTATATTATTTATAATATTGGGCAATTCTGCCACAAAATATTCATCAAATGCAGAGGGAAAATGCTGACTTCTCCAGATGAGCACAGAATCATTTCTGTGGTACTCCTGCTAAGAATGCATGACCTGAGTCTGGTCATGTGGAAACAGCAAACAGACTCAGGTTGAGGGACATGCTGCATATATAGTGAAGGCCTGTCATCTTTAAGACAGAAGAACTATTCCAGATCGATGGAGAGTGATGGGACATGACAACTGTATTCAATGTGTGTTCCTGGATAAAGTCCTGGACCAGAAAATGAAAAGACACATTGTTAGGACAGTTTGTAAATTTTGGATGTGTCTGTGCCTCAGACAGCCACATTGCATCAATGTTGATGCAATCAGGATTTGTGAGGGTTGTATAATGGTTAAGAAGGAGAATATCCTTATTTTTAATAGGTATACACTGTAGTGTTTAAGAGTTATGAGCCATCCTGTCAAGACAAAATAAATAGGTAAGTAGATAAAGAAAATGTGAGGAACCTTGGGTATCGAGGATCTGGGAGTTCTCTATGCAGTTCTTGCAACTTTTCAATAGGTTTGAAATTATTTCAAAATTTTAAAACACTAAAAACTTAAATGCAATGTTTTCATTACAGTGATTCAAAAGTGAAAAACTAAAGGCATGTATACTAAAGTAGTTCAAAGTAAATTCACACATTATTTTTGTAGGGAGTAACTAAATGAGAAACATAGAGCTTGGATGAGTTCTTCAAAGAAAAACAGGATATCATCCTTTTCATTATGTCATAAAGTATGATGTTGACAGTGAAATGACCTATAGCACTGTATAAATCAAATGTTGCTTCTGCAGACTTTAAAAAGTATGCTAATAAACAGAGTGAATTAGTTTTCTATCACTACGTAGCAAATTACCGCAAGTTCATTGGTTTAAAACAATGCACATTTATTATCTCATAGTTTCGGTGGGTGAGGGATCTAGGCACAGTGTAACTAGGTTCTCTGCTCAGGATTTCACAAGGCTGGATTCAAAATGTGACTGGGTCTGCATTCTCATGTGGAGCAGGAAGGTCTCTCTCAAGCTCATTCAGGCTGTTGGCACTGAGTTCCCTGACAATGGGCCAGGGCACCCTCAGATCCCAGATGTTGCTGAATCCTCTAGGAGGCCCTTTCAGTCCTCACCCTGTAGACCTTTCATAGGCAGTTCACATGCCTCCCCCTGCAGCCCATCAGGAAAAGCTCTCTGATGCTTTATCTGTTTTTAAGTGTCCACCTGATTAGGTCGAACCCACACAGATTAAGAAACAGGGCTTTCTCCTGCAAAGGTCATGGCCTTTCTCCTCATTCTTTCTGCTAGGGTTTGTCTGTGGTAACAAATCCACCAGACAAATGTCCAAGCAGCAGATTAGGGCAACGTGTAAAGAAATTTCATGACAAAACACTGAACACACTCAGTAATGTACAAGTATACAGATCAGCCACAGTTTGTCTTCCAATGTGGATGACAGCCCCTCCTTTGCCCCCCTGGGTATTGGTAAGGTGGGATTCTTTCTGGCTTTCTCTAGGGCTTATTCTTGAGCTTGGACTTGACCAGGCCTCTTCCATCCTGAGCCACGATCATGCCATGTGTGTTGCTAAGGTAACACTAAATGCTATAACAGATAAACTCTGAAAACTTTTGATTAACTCAAAGTCATCTGATTAGAAACCTAATTACATGGGTGATATCCCATTATGTCCACAGGTATTCCCCACACACAAGGGGAGGGCATTATACAAGACGTGAGTCATCAGATGTCATCTTAGAATTCTGCCTTACACACAGAATAAGCTACCCATACTGCTTGGACCTCCCAGATCATGAGTCCCACTCTGTGTCAATGTGACTCATTAGAAAAAATCCAAAACAGTATCATTTTCTTGTTCAATCATGACACATCATAGCATTTGAGGGAACTACACTTTTGATTAACTCTTGAATAGACCTCAATACTTTTTACTTTCTTCCTGGTCATGTAAGTCAAAAGAGCTGACTATAATTATTTTCTAAAAAGACTAAAAAGGTTTTCCTTCCTCAGCATCCTTGATCAGAGTCTATAAACCTAAATCTGCATTAATACTGACCTGGAGAAAAGATGATAAATGAGAGAAATGGGTTTAAAACAATTTTTTTTCTACCAAGCACCTACAATCACTGACTCTCACCTCCCAGCCCAGTTGAAGGTTCTGGTTAAGACTGTGATGCAGGACTGGCATCTGTAAAAATGACACTTGCCTTCGGGTTGGGTCAAATGATAAGAGTTGGCTTTTCTGACGTACATGCCTCAGGAGTCTTGAGTCAGGGCTTCACAGACTCACTTCCTGATTCTGAGATCTCCCAAGACCCTGACCACTGCTCTTGGAATGCTCTCCCCCAACTCTAATGGACTAAGCTTTGACCCTGTCGGCGGGAGCCCATGGTCATGAGTCCCAAGCCATTGCTTTCTTCCCACCTGGCTTTATGGCTTGGCCATTAACACTAGTATCACATAAACCCAAAGAGAGAACAGAAAGATGGAAAAGATATGAGGTAGAGTGATAAGAAGATGAAAACGAAGTAACAATGGAGTCTGCCAACAATACCAATCTTCCCAGCCATGCCGCAGTTCTTTGGCACAGTTTCAGGCATTTCTGGTCTTACAACTCACTCCCCACATCCTTGCCACCATCCCCAAATGAAGGCTAGGAAACGCCACCCACTCCCACCTAGAGAACAACTTCAGTTTGTTCTGCTACATAGATCAGACTACCCAAGAGGATAATTAGACACTTGGCTCTATGAAGTGGCCTGTACTTTGAGTGTTTTTTTGTTTTTTCCCTCCAGAAAATAATGAGGAGAGAACAACTGTTACGAATAACAAAAGAAAAAAAAGCAAGTCATAACTTTGGATGGCTTGAACATCCAGTCACTGAGTTTTCCTTGAGGTAATCTGACCTAGCTAGATCCTAGACATGGAATCTGCCCACTCAACCCTTTTAAAAGTTGCTTAGTTTTTAAGAAAATCTGAACTGTCAACCAACAGAGTAGAAAGATTTGCAGTGCCCTTAAGTCAACCAAGGGAGATCTAAAAATCAAAATCTCCCTGACATTAGTAACTAGCAATAAATGTTCAAACACTCAAGGAAATTGGGCTTTCTCCCACAAAGGTCATGTTCTTTTTTCCTCACTAAGTTCTTCTGGGGCTTATCTATAGTGATAGATCTACCAGATAAACATTCAGTCACCAGTTTAGGACACAGTATAGAGAAATTTCATGACAAAACACTAATTACAATGAGTAATGTACAAGTACACAGATCAACTACGGTTTATCTTTCAATATGAGCCACAGCCCCTTCCTGGGCCATTCTGGTCCCTAGTAAGGTAATATTCCTCCTGGCTGATTTCTCCAGGGTTTATTCTTGAGCTCAGACTTAACCAGGCTACTGCAATCCTAAGCCACGATGATGCTATTTGCGTTATTAAGGTAACACTAATTGCTATGACAGATAAACTCAGAAATTTTGTTCCATGCAATTACTCAGGAACCAGACTGTCAAAGGCTCTGCTGACTTCAGCACCTGGTTTCCAAGGTCACCCTAACCACTGACATATAGCCAGCAGAGGGGGAATGAGGATGGCAGTCACCTAGGAAGCATTGATGGGCCAGGCCTAGAAGTGATGTACATGACTTCAACTGGCATTCCATTGGCCAGAACTCAGTAACCTGGTCCCTCCTGAATGCAAAGGTCATTGGGAAATGCAGTCCCCATTTCAGTAGCAACTTCCCAGAAACAGTACTCTATGGAAGAGAAGCATGCGTCATGTGTGGACAGCAATCTAGATCTGCTACAATGAAGACAGTGGTAGCTGGTGGTAGCAACCACCATTTACTGTGTTCTAGGCCCCTGATAAGTGCTGGACAAATAGCCTCTCCCCGAATCCTCAAAATAACCCTATGAAATACATTTTATTATCCCACTTTTAAAGACTAGGAGGCTGAGGCTCAGAGAAGAATAAGTTAGTTGCCCAAAATCACCTGAGTAGCCAGGAAGAAACAAAGGCTAAAATCCCAGACTATCTAACCATAAAGCCCACGTTCTCCAGCACTACTCCACACTGCTTCCGTTACGTTTGGCTATAGTGACTTGATTAGTTTTTTTCCTCTTTGAGTTGTTTATCTTACTGCCAGAGAAGTTTCTACTCACCACAGAACTTGGAACTCCCTACAAGTTTGAGAATTGTCTAGGGTCTATAAAATTCCTTTGTAGCTTGAAGCCAATTCTTTCTTTCCGTGAAATGATCCCTGGATCTCCCACTCATCAAAACCTGCTTAAACTGGGCTCTCTTATTTCTTGGATGCACAGCCCCAGGTCAGCTCCCCGGGGCTGCTCCTCACACCCAAGTCTTTCTTAATGAACTTGCCTGAGTCATTGAATGTATTTTTTGTTAAACTTAGAGCCTGTCCAAAAAGAAGGTTTCTCAAAAATGTCCTGCCACTTTCCACAGGGCTCTCTCAAACTCTGAGATGTCACAAATCTCTCCTACTCACTCCCTAAAACTCTGTTTTAAGGCTCTGTCTTACGATCTATTACTTTTCTTTCTCCCTTGAGAAATAACACCTTCAAAACCTAACACTTATGTTTAAAATTGCTCGTACTTAGGTCCACGTGACCTTCACGCTGAAGAGGCTAGGGTGAAATTGGGGAAAAAATTAGTAACACTGGGGGCTGCAAATGTCTTCAGTTTGGCAGATTTGTTTTTTATTGTGAGGCAATTCAACCAGCCAATGTGAAGGACTCTTTTACATAAATTCAATGGAAGTTTCAGTCTCCCTTTTTGAAGTATAAAAAAATGTGTAAATGACCCATTTCAGATCTTTGGTTGTTTATTTCAATAACAAAAGCCTGATTCCTTTTCCTCTCAGAACCCTAAACCATATTTTCAGGGAAATTCTCAGATCCTTGCCTGAGAACTTGGAACAGTCCAAGTGACAGAGCTTTTGTTTTCGGCTTTTTCATTGACCTACAAAATCCTATTTTACTTTGGTTCTCCTTTTTCAATCCTTTTAATTGGGAGTGACTTTTTCTTTTCCATGGTAACATTTAATATGTCATGTCTCCCTCTCTTCTAGTGAGCTCACAATTGAATGTCAAGTGACCTTGACACTAGAAAGCCTCACCATACTGCTTTCTTCTTCAAGAATCTTCATTAACTTACCCAAATGTGACCATATAATGGAGAGAGGGAGAGGGACAGAAAGAGAAGAAGAGAGAGAGAGAGAGTGTGTGTGTGTATGTCCATTTTTGGCAACCCAGAGTCTACTTCCCAGAGCCAGCTGTAGCGCCTACTATGTCCCCATAGTAATCACACCCCCAAGGAATGTTCCAGCCAGAATCAGAATCAGCCTTGATCTCTGAGTCAGCCCTACAAAGTTCTCACCTTTTGTGGAGGAGTGGAGGAGCTCTGGGCCAATGTGACTCACAAAAAAACTCTTATTTCTCTGTGCCTAGAGGCCAAAATTACCATTGCCATTCTAAGCAGTCAATAAAAGGCATAGGGGACATTCAGTTAAATGTGGCAGATTGAATGTGTATATTTACCTTCACTGTTTGCCAAATACCACAAAAATTACAGAAAGGAGCAAATAAAATGCATAAATCCACAAGGAAGAGAACAATAAGGAAAATTAGAATAATTAAGTTTTGGAAGCTGAAAAGCAAATGGACTACTGACTTAGCAGACGTGAAAAAAATAAAACCTAAGCTAGCAGTGGGAAAAACACATTTATCTGGACAAAGAACTAAGTCCAGTCTCTTAGCACCTCTTAAAGAAGGAGTGCAGACAAGCCTGAAAACAAATGGATTTTTTTGAAAGTCAAAACCAAGCAGTATTTCCATTATCTGCTGCTGCATAAAACCTACCCCAAAACTTAGTGGTTGAAAACAACCATTTTGTTTCGCACACAATTTTATGGGTTAGAATTAAGGAAGGGCTCAGCTGGCCAGATCATCTCTGATCCTGGTGGCATCAGCTGGGGCAGCTGAAGCAGGAGAATCCATTTCCAATATGGCCTTAGCATTCATGTTCTGGCAACTCAGTGATCCTTGGTGCCTCTCTCTTTCTCTTCGCTCCTCTCTTCACTCTCCCAGTGAAGTCTCATTCTCCAGAGCCTCTCCCATGGCTTGGGCTTCTCACAGCAGAAGCCTCAGGATAGTTGTACTTCTTACTGGCTTCCAAGAAGCAGAAAGGAGAAGCTGCCAGACTAGTTAAAGACCAAACCGGGAAGTGGCCCAGCATCATTTCCACTGTACTCTGTTGGTAGAAGTCCCAGGGTCCACCAGATTTGAGAGAGTGGAGAAATAGACTCCGCATCTTAATGAGAGAGGACACAGTCACATTGGAAGAAGAGCACATAGGATAAGAGATGCTGTTGTGGCCATTGTTGAAAAATGCAATGAACTACAGTCCACCTTTTAACCACAATACTTCACATCCTTCCCAGTGCAAAATATATTCATCCCACACCCAAGACGGCAAAGTCTCATCCCACTATGGCATCAGCTCAAATCCAGGATCTCAGCATGTACATTAGATCCAGGTGCAGATTCCTCAGGAACAGCTTCAGGCACAATTTCCCAGGTACAGCTCCTTAAACTCAGTTCTCTGGAGTTGAAGATCTGTGAACTATAGACATAAGTCATCTGTCCCCCACAAATACCCAACATACAACACACAGCATATAGAATGAGAAATATTGTTCTGGCCATTTTAGAAAAGACCATATGCCACAGGCAGTTAGACCACTCCCCTACAGTCAGGGAACCATCTCTCATTCACCCAAGGAAAAAATGAGAGATTCTCTAGAGAGGGTCTCTGGATTCAGGGACAGCAGGCTAAGTTGAAGGTAGAAATGCTGAATGGAAAATAAAAAAACAAGCAAAGTTTATAGGATGAATAGTGAAACCCCTAACTCCCATTTCCTCATTACTTGTCCCCAGAATGCTAGCAGCTACGCTCATATCCCGAGGAGAGAAAACCTCTCTGAAAAAACTGACCAGCCTAAAGAAAAGAAGCCTATAGGTACTGTCATTTCGAGGACCTCAATGAGGAAGCCCATTTCAATTACTCCACAGGTCAGGCTACCTCCCAACAAGGCTTGCCCACACCACACAGAACTAACATCCAGCCCTCTTTTTTTTCAATCATCAAGCTTTTGAATAAAAGCTAAGATCCATGAACCATCATATACTTAAGGAAAGCTACAAACATGGAAGCATGAGATTGAAAAATTTTAGGGCTCTGAAACCACATACATACTCCATGGAGCCAATGCAAACTTTGCATTCATCCAAAGAAAAGATGCTGTTTTTTTTTAAAGTTATTTTTCCTCAAAGCTATAAGTTTAAAAACTAAAATAACTCATGATATGTAAAAATAACTTTTCAGCAGCAAGCATTTTTAGCTCTTTGAGCTATTATTATTATCTTCATATTTCTAATATGCCTATATCAATATTTCTGAATGTTTTCAGGTTAGATATCATCTATTCACCTTCTAAAATAAAAGGATTTAGCTCTTTTATGTGAGATGAGGCATGTGTGTCATAGGAAACTACATCATCAGAATGTTTGCAGTAAAGAATAGTTTGTTCACTTAATGCTACAAGGCACTGGTATAACAGGACTTTTTAATTCAACATAGAGCAGATGCTCCTGGGGAAGTTAACAGAGCTGCTTTACCTCAGTTTCAGTTTGCTCTCAATAATGTAGGTAGAAATAGAGGGGCTTTCTGAAAGATAAAAGAAACAGGGACCCCAATCCCTTTACTCTGAGGTTTAAATTTGTTAAAATCTCTCTGAGACTAGGGTGCCCCTTACTGAAGCTAGATGGCAGTAAAGACCACCAAGCCTCCTGAAAAAAGATCCTCTATGAGAGCAGGAAATTAAACCAGGTTTAAAAAGACAGGAAACTAACACTGTGAATCAGAAGTCTCTATAGGCTCCTAGAGCTCATCCCTGCTCACTACATACCTCACCTGGTGGCAGCACAATTTCATCCTGAGGGTGGAGGGTGGAAGGAGGATGAGGACTGAAAAACTACCTATCAGGTACTATGCTCATTACCTGGGTGATGAAATAATCTGTACACCCAATGCCCCATGACACATAATTTACCAATATAACAAACTTGCACATGTAGCCTGAACCTAAAATAAAAGTTAAAAATAACCATACTCCCAATACTATAATTAATGACAGTTCATCTACATTGATTAAGTATAAAATACATGATTCACTCATTAGTGATAGTATAGCTACATTGACTATTAAGTATAAAATACAATTCATTCGTTGTAATTTTGTCTTTTCAATAAATTCGAAGTTTTCACAATCCGTGTTAAAAGAATCCTTTCAAATGTTACTAAAATGGAAACTCCTGAGGATAGACAGACTGAATTGCCAGCTGGTACCATCTTCTTGGTGCCTGGAAACAATCTCACGATCCTTAAGTCTACCAATTATCCGAATGTCAAATGCCTAAGTGGCCTTGAGAATGATATCTTGAATATTGCCATACATATAAGCTGAGTATGTTTTGTTATAAGCAACGGGAACCAACTCTGGCTAACTTAAAGCCAAAGGGGATTTGTGAGAGGGATGTGGCAAGAGTTCACAGAACTGTAAGAAGAGATGAACAATCAGGCTTCAGGAAGAACATGAACAGCCTCGGCTGCACCTGCAGCAGTGTGTGGGTGCCCCTCTGAGATACTTCAGGCAGATCACTGTTCCATTCATTCTCTACCTAAAGGGAGACTCCAGATTCCAGAGGGGTTGGGGCTAGGAATCCACACATGGCCAAGGAGAGGCCGTGCAGGAAGACAGGAGAGTGGGAGGGTTATTAGCAGAAAAGGAGAGAAGAGGTTTTGGCAGGAAGAAACAAGAGCCCCTGAACCAGGCAGCCCAAGTCTCATTCTTTCCAATTGCCTAGCTTCGCTTTTAAGATTCTAGATGTCATCCCCAAGTAGAGAGTAAACCAATGTTAAATGGCTGGCATGTGAACTGTGCAATAGTTTTTTTTTTTTATATACTTTAAGTTTTACAGTACATGTGCACAACGTGCAGGTTTGTTACATGTGTATACATGTGACATGTTGGTGTGCTGCACCCATTAACTCATCATTTACATTAGGTGTATCTCCTAAAGCTATCCCTCCCCGCTCCCCCCACCCGACAACAGGCCCTGGTGTGTGATGTTCCCCTTCCTGTGTCCATGGGTTCTCATTGTTCAATTCCCACCTCTGAGTGAGAACATGCAGTGTTTGGTTTTTTGTCCTTGCGATAGTTTGCTGAGAATGATGGTTTCCAGCTTCATCCTCATGTCCCTAAAAAAGACATGAACTCATCACTTTTTATGGCTGCATAGTATTCCATGGTGTATATGTGCCACGTTTTCTTAATCCAGTCTATCGTTGTTGGACATTTGGGTTGGATCCAAGTCTTTGCTATTGTGAATAGTGCCGCTATAAACATACGTGTGTATGCATGCGTCTTTATAGCAGCATGATTTATAATCCTTTGGGTATATACCCAGTAAAGGGATGGCGGGGTCAAATGGTATTTCTAGTTCTAGATCCCTGAGGAATTGCCACACTGACTTCCCAATGTTTGAACTAGTTTACAGTCCCACCAACAGTGTAAAAGTGTTCCTATTTCTCCACATCCTCTCCAGCACCTGTTGTTTCCTGACTTTTTAATGATTGCCATTCTAACTGGTGTGAGATGGTATCTCATTGTGGTTTTGATTTGCATTTCTCTGATGGCCAGTGATGATAAGCATTTTTTCATGTGTCTTTTGGCTCCATAAATGTCTTCTTTTGAGAAGTGTCTGTTCATATCCTTCGCCCACTTGTTGATGGGGTTGTTTGTTTTTTTCTTGTAAATTTGTTTGAGTTCATTGTAGATTCTGGATATTAGCCCTTTGTCAGATGAGTAGGTTGCAAAAACGTTCTCCCATTCTCTAGGTTGCCTGTTCACTCGGATGGTAGTTTCTTTTGCTGTGCAGAAGCTCTTTAGTTTAATTAGATCCCATTTGTCAATTTTGGCTTTTGTTGCCACTGCTTTTGGTGTTTTAGACATGAAGTCCTTGCCCATGCCTATGTCCTGAATGGTATTGCCTAGGTTTTCTTCTAGGGTTTTTATGGTTTTAGGTCTAACATTTAAGTCTTTAATCCATCTTGAATTAATCTTCGTATAAGGTGTAAGGAAGGGATCCAGTTTCAGCTTTCTACATATGGCTAGCCAGTTTTCCCAGCACCAATTATTAAATAGGGAATCCTTTCCCCATTGCTTGTTTTTGTCACGTTCGTCAAAGACCAGATAGTTGTAGATATGTGGCATTATTACTGAGGGCTCTGTTCTGTTCCATTGGTCTATATCTCTGTTTTGGTACCAGTACTATGCTGTTTTGGTTACTGTAGCCTTGTAGTATAGTTTGAAGTCAGGTAGCGTGATGCCTCCAGCTTTGTTCTTTTTGCTTAGGATTGTTTTGGCTATGTGAGCTCCTTTTTGGTGCCATATGAACTTTAAAGTAGTTTTTTCCAATTCTGTGAAGAAAGTCATTGGTAGCTTGATGGGGATGGCATGGAATCTATAAATTACCTTGGGCAGTATGGCCATTTTCACAATATTGATTCTTTCTACCCATGAGCATGGACTGTTCTTCCATTTGTTTGTATCCTCTTTTATTTCATTGAGCAGTGGTTTGTAGTTCTCCTTGAAGAGGTCCTTCACATCCCTTGTAAGTTGGATTCCTAGGTATTTTATTCTCTTTGTAGTGATTGTGAATGGGACTTCACTCATGATTTGGCTCTCTGTTTGTTATCGGTGTATAAGAATGCTTCTGATTTTTGTACATTGATTTTGTATCCCGAGACTTTGCTGAAGTTGCTTATCGGCTTAAGGAGATTTTGGGCTGAGATGATGGGGTTTTCTAGATATACAATCATGTCATCTGCAAACAGGGACAATTTGACTTCCTCTTTTCCTAATTGAATACCCTTTATTTCCTTCTCCTGCCTGATTGCCCTGGCCAGAACTTCCAACACTATGTTGAATAGGAGTGGTGAGAGAGGGCATCCCTGCCTTCTGCCAGTTTTCAAAGGGAATGCTTCCAGTTTTTGCCCATTCAGTATCATATTGGCTGTGGATTTGTCATAGATACCTCTGATTATTTTGAGATACATCCCATCAATACCTAGTTTATTGAGAGTTTTTAGCATGAAGCATTGCTGAATTTTGGCAAAGGCCTTTTCTGCATCTATTGAGATAATAATGTGGTTTTTGTCTTTGGTTCTGTTTATATGTTGGATTACATTTATTGATTTGCATATGTTGAACCAGCCTTGCACCCCAGGGGTGAAGCCCACTTGATCATGGTGGATAAGCTTTTTGATGTGCTGCTGGATTTGGTTTGCCAGTATTTTATTGAGGATTTTTGCATCGATGTTCATCAAAGATATTGGTCTAAAATTCTCTTTTTTTTTGTTGTGTCTCTGCCAGGCTTTGGTATCAGGATGATGCTGGCCTCATAAAATGAGTTAGGGAGGATTCCCTGTTTTTCTATTGATTGGAATAGTTTCAGAAGGAATGGTACCAGTTCCTCCTTGTACCTCTGGTAGAATTCGCCTGTGAATCCATCTGGTCCTGGACTTTTTTTGGTTGGTAAGCTATTGATTATTGCCTCAATTTCAGATCCTGTTATTGGTCTATTCAGAGATTCAACTTCTTCCTGGTTTAGTCTTGGGAGGATGTATGTGTCGAGGAATTTATCCCTTTCTTCTAGATTTTCTAGTTTATTTGCGTAGAGATGTTTGTAGTATTCTCTGATGGTAGTTTGCATTTCTGTGGGATCGGTGGTGATATCCCCTTCATCATTTTTCATTGCGTCTATTTGATTCTTCTCTCTTTTCTTCTTTATTAGTCTTGCTAGCGGTCTATCAATTTTGTTGATCTTTTCAAAAAAACCAACTCCTGGATTCATTAATTTTTTAAGGGTTTTTTGTGTCTCTATTTCCTTCAGTTCTGCTCTGATCTTAGTTATTTCTTGCCTTCTGCTAGCTTTTGAATGTGTTTGCTCTTGCTGTTCTAGTTCTTTTACTTGTGATGTTAGGGTGTCAATTTTAGATCTTTTCTGCTTTCTCTTGTGGGGATTTAGTGCTATAAATTTCCCTCTACACACTGCTTTGAATGCGTCCCAGAGATTCTGGTATGTTGTGTCTTTGTTCTCGTTGGTTTCAAAGAATATCTTTATTTATGCCTTCACTTCATTATTTACCCAGTAGTCATTCAGGAGCAGGTTGTTCAGTTACCATGTAGTTGAGCGGTTTTGAGTGAGTTTCTTAATCCTGAGTTCTAGTTTGATTGCACTGTGGTCTGAGAGACAGTTTGCTATAATTTCTGTTCTTTTACATTTGCTGAGGAGTGCTTTACTTACAACTATGTGGTCAGTTTTGGAGTAGGTGTGGTGTGGTGCTGAAAAGAATGTATATTCTGTTGATTTGGGGTGGAGAGTTCTGTAGATGTCTATTAGGTCTGCTTGGTGCAGAGCTGAGTTCAATTCCTGGATATCCCTGTTAACTTTCTGTCTCGTTGACCTGTCTAATGTTGACAGTGGGGTGTTAAAGTCTCCCATTATTATTGTGTGATAATAATCACTTATTATCCTTAGGTCCTTAGTCCTTAGGTCACTAAGGACTTGCTTTATGAATCTGGGTGCTCCTGTATTGGGTGCATATATATTTAGGATAGTTAGCTCTTCTTGTTGAATTGATCCCTTTACCATTATGTAATGGCCTTCTTTGTCTCTTTTGATCTTTGTTGGTTTAAAGTCTGTTTTATCAGAGTCTAGGATTGCAACCCCTGCCTTTTTTTGTTTTCCATTTGCTTGGTAGATCTTCCTCCATCCTTTTATTTTGAGCCTATGTGTGTCTGTGCACGTGAGATGGGTCTCCTGAATACAGCACACTGATGGGTCTTGACTCTTTATCCAATTTGCCAGTCTGTGTCTTTTAATTGGAGCATTTAGCCCATTTACATTTAAAGTTAATATTGTTATTATGTGTGAATTTGATCCTGTCATTATGATGTTAGCTGGTTATTTTGCTCATTAGTTGATGCAGTCTCTTCCTAGCCTCGATGGTCTTTACAATTTGGCATGTTTTTGCAGTGGCTGGTACCGGTTATTCCTTTCCATGTTTAGTGCTTCCTTCATGAGCTCTTTTAGGGTAGGCCTGGTGGTGACAAAATCTCTCAGCATTTGCTTGTCTGTAAAGGATTTTATTTCTCCTTCACTTATGAAGCTTAGTTTGGCTGGATATGAAATTCTGGGTTGAAAATTCTTTTCTTTAAGAATGTTGAATATTGGTCCCCACTCTCTTCTGGCTTGTAGAGTTTCTGCTGAGAGATCAGCTGTTAGTCTGATGGGCTTCCCTTTGTGGGTAACCCGACCTTTCTCTCTGGCTGCCCTTAACATTTTTTCCTTCATTTCAACTTTGGTGAATCTGACAATTATGTGTCTTGGAGTTGCTCTTCTCGAGGAGCTTCTTTGTGGCATTCTCTGTATTTCCTGAATTTGAATGTTGGCCTGCCTTGCTAGATTGGGGAAGTTCTCCTGGATAATATCCTTCAGAGTGTTTTCCAACCTGGTTCCATTCTCCCAGTCACTTTCAGGTACACTAATCAAATGTAGATTTGGTCTTTTCACATAGTCCCATATTTCTTGGAGGCTTTGCTCGTTTCTTTTTATTCTTTTTTCTCTAAACTTCTCTTCTCACTTCACTTCATTCATTTCGTCTTCCATCACTGATAACCTTTCTTCCAGTTGATCGAATTGGCTACTGAGGCTTCTGCATTTGTCAAATAGCTCTCGTGCCTTGGTTTTCAGCTCCATCAGGTCATTTAAGGACTTCTCTGCATTGGTTATTCTAGTTATCCATTTGTCTAATTTTTTTTCAAAGCTTTTAACTTCTTTGCCATTGGTTCGAATTTCCTCCTGTAGCTCGGAGTAGTTTGATCATCTGAAGCCTTCTTTTCTCAACTCGTCAAAGTCATTCTCCGTCCAGCTTTGTTCCGTTGCTGGTGAAGAGTTGCATTCCTTTGGAGGAGGAGAGGCGCTCTGATTTTTAGAGTTTCCAGTTTTTCTGCTCTGTTTTTTTCCCATCTTTGTGGTTTTATCTACCTTTGTTCTTCGATGATGGTGACGTACAGATGGGTTTTTGGGGTGGATGTCCTTTCTGTTTGTTAGTTTTCCTTCTAACAGACAGGACCCTCAGCTGCAGGTCTGTTGGAGTTTGCCGGAGGTCCACTCCAGACCCTGTTTGCCTGGATATCAGCAGTTGAGGCTGCAGAACAGCGAATATTGGTGAACAGCAAATGCTGCTGCCTGATCGTTCCTCTGGAAGTTTTGTCTCAGAGGAGTACCCGGCCGTGTGAGGTGTCAGTCTGCCCCTACTGGGGGATGCCTCCCAGTTAGGCTACCCAGGGGTCAGGGACCCACTTGAGGAGGCACTCTGTCCATTCTCAGATCTCCAGCTGCATGCTGGGAGAACCACTGCTGTCTTCCAAGCTGTCAGGCAGGGACATTTAAGTCTGCAGAGGTTTCTGCTGCCTTTTGTTTGGCTATGCCCTGCCCCCAGAGGTGGAGTCTACAGAGGCAGGCAGGCCTCCTTGAGATGCGGTGGGCTCCACCCAGTTTGAGCTTCCCGGCAGGTTTGTTTACCTACTCACGCCTCAGCAATGGCAGATGCCCCTCCCCCAGCCTGGCTGCTGCCTTTCAATTTGATCTCAGACTGCTGTGCTAGCAATGAGCAAGGGTCCGTGGGCGTAGGACCCTCCGAGCCAGGCACGGGATATAATCTCCTGGTGTGCCATTTGCTATGACCATCAGAAAAGCGCAGTATTAGGGTGGGAGTGACCCGATTTTCCAGGTGCCATCTGTCACCCCTTTCCTTGGCTAGGAAAGGGAATTCCCTGACCCCTTGCGCTTCCTGGGTGAGGTGATGCCTTGCCCTACTTCGGCTCACGCTCGGTGCGCTGCACCCACTGTCCTGCACCCACTGTCTGACAATCCCCAATAAGATGAACCCAGTACCTGAGTTGGAAATGCAGAAATCATTCGTCTTCTGCATCACTCATGCTGGGAGCTGTAGACTGGAGCTGTTCCTATTTGGCCATCTTGGAACCACCCTCCAGTAGTTTTCTTGAAGAGAAAAAATAATGTAGCTGTTACATGCATGGAGGTTAGAGTCAGATATCCTGGGTTCCAATCCCCGTTTGGTCCTAACTGTGCCTTGGACATTTTCTAAAGGATCAGTGTATCTAGCCATTCCCAGGCTTTCTGAGATTTGGTTTCACCAGTAAAATGCAGAAAATGTTTACATGTTTCAGTTAATATGCCTTTGGTAATAGAACGCAAGACCCAAATGAATAAGGGAATTTAATGTCTCATAAAACTGAAAAGCCCAATAGTAGGGAAATCTTCAGTGGCTCAGCAATCTCACTAAATACCCAGCCTCTTTCCATTGTCTGCTCTGCTCTTGGGAACATCCACACACCCCAAGGCTGGCTGTACTGTGATGGAAAAGGTGGCTGCCAGAAGCTTCTGGACTTTCATATTTCCCCATTCATATTCAATAAACAGGAGTGTCTTCCCTAACCATCTAACAAAAATCCTGGACCTCCCTTTAATTGGGTCATCTTTGTTCACCTGTTGGCAAGAGAAATGGGATCTGGGAATTAGAACAAACTGCAATAGGAGAGGGGCAGAATGGATACTAGGGAGGCAACCACAATCCTCAAATCCTTCATATCATCTCCTAGAGTCAATCTGAGGACTGAATGTACATAAAGTGCTAATAAACACCTGGCAGATGTGTCAAATACTTGTGTGTGTGACAGTGTGTGTGTCAAGAGATATAGAGATAAAGAGCTTGAGACAGAGGTACAATTTCCAATTTAAGACCTATACAAGAGGGGGATTTTCAAGAAGATAGAGGATAGGAGAAAGGGCTAACATGTAGCTCCCATTTGGATGGACAGAACGGCATGAAGAGACTCACACCATGGACTTTTGCTCCAAGAACCACCACAGGAACGTACCAGGAAAACCGAAAGAGTTCACACATCCTTTGAAAGAAGCAGCACACCACTGAAAATTCCACAAGACAGATGAAAAACTGTGAGTTTCCAAAGTGTGAGAAGGGAAAAATCTGCCTCTGAACACACACCCCCACTGGGGAACCTGAAAATCCAGATTACGGGAGAAGGATTTAACCTTACCTGGAGCTGAAATGGATTTAGTGTGAAATATAAAAGTAGAAGCAGCAGCGGGAAGAGTCTTATAGGCACTCCAGTCTCCAGCTCGAGCCCAGGGAAGCCATCCCTGGCTCTATCTCACAGGGGCCGTCAGGGAAGGCAGCCAGTGGAATTTGGGAGGGGTCACAGGGTGAAACAAGCTTCCAACTGAACTTTGTAATAATTTCAACTGGGCATGAACTCTCTTGAGCAGAATCCAAGGAGCAAATGGGAACTGCTGCACAGAGGAACAATGGAGCTGTGGCCAACAATGTGGGCTGACGAGGAGGAGCAAGGCCTGAAAGCTGTGCTTGCTTTGTCAGCGAAGAAGTTTGTGCCTGGGGCAAGGTCTGAGCCCAGAATGCAGGCTGCCCAGAGATAAACTGTTACTTGGGCACTGCAGGAGCAAGACTGGCCTCACTGACTGCATGGGAGTTGGAGGAGGCCTGTTGCTACCAGCTTTCCCCCATATCCCTGGCAAAAGAGACAGCCATAATCCCCTCTGGAACATAACCCCTGAGAACCAGTCCCCAACCCCCACAGTGGCCATGGTAAGCCCTAACCAAGAAGAGTCTGAGCTCAGACTCACCTAACCCTTCCCTCACCTGATGGTATTTCTCTATCCACCCTGGTAGCTGATCACAAAAAACATAAACTCTTGGGAACTTTATGGCCCTGCCCATAACCCAAATACTAATCCTGGCCAACTTAGGGTGAGCTTATGTCTCTCTTCTACTATTACAGCTGGTGCTCTCTTGAAAGCACCACCTCCTGGCTGAAGGCCAACCAACTCAGGACATTACAGCCACCTCCACTAGAGCAAGTCTTGGTATCTATGTCTGGGAGACCAGAAGACGGATCACATCATAGGACTCTGCAGACATTGCCCAGCAGCAGCCTGCAGCCTAGTAGCCCCACTGGGTGACTAGACCCAGAAGAGCAACAGCAATTACTGCAGTCTGGCTCTCAGGAAGCCCCATCCCTAGGGGAAGTAGGACACCACCACATCAAGGGATCACCCCTTGGAACAAAAAAATCTGAACAACAGCCCTTGAGTCACAGATCTTCCCTCTGACATAGTCTACCCAAATGAAAAGGAATCAGAAAAGTAATTCTGGTAATATGACAAAACAAGGTTCTACAACACCCCCCAAAGACCACATTACCTCCCCAGCAATGGATCCAAACCAAGAAGACATCTCTGAATTGCCAGATAAAGAATTCTGATGGTTGATTATCAAGCTGTTCAAGGAGATACCAGAGAAAGGTGAAAACCTGCTTAAAGAAATTTAAAAAATAAATAAATAAAGGATATGGATGAAAAATTCTCCAGAGAAATAGATATCATAGAGAGAAAACAATCACAAATTCTGGAAATGAAAGACATACTCAGAAAAATACAAAAGTGCACTGAAAAGTGTCAATAATAGACTAGAACAAGTAGAGAAAGAACTTCAGAACTCATAGACAAGGCTTTTGAATTCATCCAATCAGACAAAGATAAAGAAAAAAGAATATTAAGAAATGAACAAAGCCTCTATAAAATTTGGGATTATGTTAAATGGCTAAACCTAAGAATAACTGGTGTTCCTGAAAAAAAGAAATCTAAGTCTGGAAAACTTATCTGAGGGAATAATCAAGGAAAGCTTCCCTGGCCTCACTAGAGATCTAGACATCCAAATATAGGAAGCTCAAAGAAAACCTGGGAAATTCATCACAAAAAGATCATCACCTAGGTACACAGTCATCGGGTTATCTAAAGTCAAGACGAAGGAAAGAATCTTAACAGCTGTGAGGCAAAAGCATCAGATAACCTATAAAAGAAAACATATCAGAATAACAGCAAATTTCTCAGCAGAACCCTGAAAGCCAGAAGGTATTGGGGTTCTATCTTTAGCCTCCTCAAAAAAAGTAATTGCCAGTCAATAATTTTGTATCCAGCAAAACTAAGCTTCATAAATGGAGGAAAGATACAGTCTTTTTCAGACAAAAAAAAAATGCAGAGAGAATTCGCCACTACCAAGCAGCACTACAAGAAATGCCACAAGGAATTCTAAATCTTGAAACAAAACCTCTAAGTACACCAAAATAGAACCTCCTTAAAGCATAAATCTCACAGGGTCTATAAAACAACAGCACAATGAAAAAAAAACACACAAAAGGTATTCAGGTAACAACTAGCATGGGGAGTAAAACAGTACCTCACATGTCAATACTAATGTTGAATGTAAATGGCCTAAATGCTCCGCTGAAAAGATGCAGAATGGCAGAATAGATAAAAATCTACTGACCGAGTATCTACTGTCTTCCAGAGACTCACTTAACACATAAGGACTCACATAAACTTAAGGTAAAGCGGTGGAAAAAGATATTCAATGCAAACACAAACCAAAAGTGAGCAGGAGTCCCTATTCTTACATTAGACAAAACAGACTTTAAAGCAACAACAGTTAAAAAGACAAAGAGGTAATTTTACAATGATAAAATAAGTACAAAAGGAAAATATCACAATCCTAAATATATATGCGCCTAACACTGGAGTCTCAAATTTATAAGACAATTATTACTACACCTAAGAAATGAGATAGACAGCAATATAGTAATAGTGGAGACTTCAATACTTCACTGACAGCACTAGACAGGGCATCAAGACAGAAAGGCAACATAGAAACAATGGGCTTAAACTATACCCTAAAACAAATGCACTTAACAGATATTTAAAGAACATTATACCCAACAACTGCAGAATAAACATTCTTTTCATCCGGCACATGGAACATTCTTCAAGAGAGACCACATGTTAGGCCACAAAACAAGACTCAATAAATTTAAGAAAGTTGAAATTATATCAAGTACCCTCTCAGACCACAGTAGACTAAAACTGGAAATAAACTCCAAAAGGAACCCTCAAAACTATACAAATACATAGAAATTAAATAATCTGCTGGGCACAGTGGCTCACGCCTGTAATCCCAGCACTTTGGGAGGCTGAGGCAGGCGGATCACCTATGGTCAGGAGTTCAAGACCAGCCTGGCCAACATAGAGAAACCCTGTCTCTACTAAAAATACAAAATTAGCCAGGCGTGGTGGTGCATGCCTGTAATCCCAGCTAGTCAGGAGGCTGAGGTAGGAGAATCACTTGAACCTGGGAGGCAGAGGTTGCGGTGAGCCGAGATCACGCCATTGCATTCCAGCCTGGGCAACAAGAGCGAAACTCCGCCTCAAAAAGAAAGAAAGAAAGAAAGAAATTAAAAAATCTGCTCCAGAATGATCCTTGGGTCAACAATGAAATCAAGATGGAAATTTAAACATTCTTTAAACTGAACAGTAATAGTGACATAACCTATCAAAACCTCTGGGCTACAGCAAAGGTGGTGCTAAGAGGAAAGTTCATAGCATTAAATGCCTACATCAAAAAGTCTGAAACAGCAAAAATAGACAATCTAAGGTCACACCTCAAGGAGCTGAGAAACAAGAACAAACCAAGCCCAAACCCAGCAGAAGAAAAGCGATAACCAAGATCACAGCAGAACTAAATGAAATTGAAACAAAAAAAATACACAAGATAACTGGAACAAAAAGCTGGTTCTTTGAAAAGATAAACAAAATTGATAGACCATTAGCAACATTAACCAAGAAAAAAAGGGAGAAGATCCAAAAACAAACAGGAGATATTATAACCAATACCACAGAAATACAAAAGATCATTTGAGACTCCAATGAACACTTCTATGCACACAAACTAGAACATCTAGAGGATATGGATAAATTCCTGGAAATATACAACCCTCCTGGATTAATTGAGGAAGAAATAGAAACTTTGAACAGACCAATAACAATAGCAAGATTGAAACACTGATTTAAAAATTGCCAATAACAAAAAAAAAGTCCAGGACCAGATAGATTCATAGCTGAATTCTATCAGACAATCAAAGAAGAGTTGGTACCAATCTTTGGAAACTATTCCAAAAGACAGACAAAGAGGGAATCCTCCCTAAATCATTCTATGAAGCCAATATCACCTGATATGGTTTGGCTACGTCCCCACCCAAATCTCATCTTGAATTCCCATGTGTTGCGGGAGGGACCTGGTGGGAGGTAACTGAATCATGGGGGCAGGTCTTTCCCATGCTCTTCTCGTGATAGTGAATAAGTCTCATGAGACTTGATGGTTTTATAAGGCGGGGGGGGGTGGTTCCCTACACAAGCTTATTTTCTTTGCCTGCTGCCATTTATGTAAGATGTGACTTGCTTCTCCTCGCCTTCCTCCATGATTGGGAGGCCTCCCCAGCCATGTGGAACTGTAAGTCCATTAGACCTGTTTCTTTTGTAAATTGCCCAGTCTCAGGTATGTCTTTATCAGTAGCTTGAAAATGGACTAATACAGTAAATTGGTACCAGTAGAGTAGGGCTCTGCTGAAGAGATACCTGAAAATGTGGAAGTGACTTTGGAACTGCGTAACAGGCAGGGGTTGGAACAGTTTGGAGGGCTCAGAAGGAGACAGGAAAATGTGGGAAAGTTTGAAACTTCCTAGAGACTTATTGAATGGCTTTATCCAAAATGTTGACAGTGATATGGACAATGAAATCCAGGTTGAGGTGGTCTCAGATGGAGATGAGGAACTTATTGGGAACTGAAGCAAAAGTGACTCTTGTTATGTTTTAGCAGAGACACTGGCGGCATTTTGCCCCTGCCCTAGAGATTTGTGGAACTTTGAACTTGAGAGAGATGATTTAGGGTATCTGGCAGAAGAAATTTCTAAGCAGCAAAGCATTCAAGAGGTGACTTGGGTGCTGTTAAAGGCATTCAGTTTTAAAAGGGAAACAGCATAAAAGTTCAGAAAATGAGTAGCCTGATAATGTAATAAAAAAGAAAATTCCATTTTCTGATGAGAAATTCAAGCCGCCTGCAGAAATTTGCGTAAGTAATGAGGAGCCAAATGTTAATCCCCAAGACAGTGGGGAAAACATCTCCAGGGCATGTCAGAGATCTTCACAGCAGCCCCTTCGATCACATGACCAGAGGCCTAGGAGGAAAAGATGGTTTCGTGTACTGTTAATTTTTTATTTTTAAAATTATGGCCATTATTGCAGGAGTAAGGTAGTATCTCATTGTGGTTTTGATTTGCATTTCTCTGATCATTAGTGGTGTTGAGCATTCTTCCATATGCTTGTTGGTCATTTACATATCTTCTTTTGAGAATTGTCTATTCATGCCCCTTGCTCACTTTTTGATGGGATTATTTGTTTTTTTCTTGCTGATTTGTTTGAGTCCCTTGTAGACTCTGGATGTTAGTCCTTTGTCAGATGTACAGTTTGCAAGTATTTTCTCCTATTCTGTGGGTTCTCTGTTTACTGTGCTGATTATTTCTTTTGCTGTGCAGAAGACTTTTAGTTTAATTAGGTCCTGTCTATTTATCTTTGTTTTTGTTTTGTTTGCTTTTGGGTTCTTGGTCATGAACTCTTTGCCTAAGCCAATGTCTAGAAGAGTTTTTCTGATGTTATCTTGTAGAATTTTTATGGTATCAGGTCTTAGATTTAACTCTTTGATCATCTTGAGTTGATTTTTGTATAAGGTGAGAGGTGAAGATCTAGTTTCATTCTTCTACACGTGGCTTGCCAATGATTCCAGCATCATTTGTTGAATACAGTGTACTTTCCCCACTTTGTTTTTGTTTGCTTTGTTGAAGATCAGTTGGCTATAAATATTTGGCTTTATTTCTGGGTTTTCTATTCTGTTCCATTGGTCTACATGCCTACTTTTATACCAGTACCATGCTGTTTTGGTAACTATATCCTTGTAGTATAGTTTGAATTTGGCTAATGTGATGCCTCCAGATTTGTTCTTTTTGCTTAGTCTTGCTTTGGCCATGTGCAGTCTTTTTTTTTTTTTTTTTTTTGGTTCCATATGAATTTTAGGATTGTTTTTTCTAGTTCTGTGAAGAATGATGATGGCATTTTGATGTAAATTGCATTGAATCTGTAGATTGCTTTTGGCAGTATGGCCATTTTCACAATATTGATTCTACCCATCCATGAGAGAATGTGTTTCCATTTGTTTGTGTCATCTATGATTTCTTTCAGCAGTGTTTTGTAGGTTTCCTTGTAGACATCTTTTGCCTCTTTGGTTAGGTATATTCCTAAGTACTTTATTTTTCTTCACAGCTGTTGTAAAAGGGGTTGAGTTCTTGATTTGATTCTCAGCTTGATCGTTGTTGGTGTATAGCGGTGCTACTGATTTGTGTACATTGATTTTGTATGCTGAAACTTTATTGAATTCATATATCAGACCTAGGAGCTTTTTGAGTGAGTCTTTGGGGTTTTCTAGGTATATAATTATGTCATCAAAGAACAGTGACAGTTTCACTTCCTCTTTACCTATTTGGATGTCCTTTATGTGTTTCTCTTGTCTAATTGCTCTGGCTAGGACTTCCAGTACAATGTTGAATAGCAGTGGTGAAACTGGGCATCCTTGTCTTATTCCAGTTCTCAAGAAGAATGCTTCCAACTTTTCCCCATTCAGTATAATGTTGGCCGTGTGTTTGTCCTAGATGGCTTTTATTACCTTAAGGTATGTTTCTTATATGCCGATTTTGCTGATTTTAATCACAAAGCGATGCTGGATTTTGCCAAATGCTTTTTCTGCATCTGTTGAGATGATCATATAATTTTTGTTTTTAATTCTGTTTATGTGATGTATCACATTTATTGATTTGCACATGTTAAACCATCCCTGGTATGAAACCCACTTGATCACGGTGTATTATCTTTTTGATATGCTGTTGAATTTGGTTAGCTAGTATCTTGTGGAGGATTTTTGCATCTGTTTTTATCAGGGATATTGGTCTGTAGTTTTCCTTTTTTTGTTATGTCCTTTCCTGGTTTTGGTATTAGGGTGATGTATTGGTCTGTTTCCATGCTGCTGATAAAGACATACCTGAGACTGGGCAATTTACAAAATAAACAGGTTTAATGGACTACAGTTCCACATGGCTGGGTAGGCCTCACAATCATGGTGGAAGGCAAGGAGGAGCAAGTCATGTCTTAAATGGATGGCAGCAGGGAAAGAGAACTTGTGCAGGGAAACCTCTTTCCCATGTGAAAGACCTACCCCATGATTCAATTACTTCCCACCAGGTCCTCCCACAACACATGGGAATTCAAGATGAGATTTGGGTGGCAACACAGCCAAACCATATCATTTCACCCCTGGCCCCTCCCAAATCTCATGTCCTCACATTTCAAGACCAATGATGGCTTCCCAACAGTCCCCTAAAGTCTTAACTCATTTCAGCATTAACTCAAAAGTCCACAGTCAAAAGTCTCATCTGAGAAAAGGCAAGTCCCTTCCACCTATAAGCTTGTAAAATTAAAAGCATGTTAATTACTTCCTAGATACAACAGGGGTACAGGCATTGGGCAAATACAGCCATTCCAAGTGGGAAAGATTGACCAAAACAATGTTAACAGATGTTGGCACGGATGTGGTGAAAAGGCAACACTTTTATACTTCTGGTGGGTATGTAAACTGGTACAAACACTATCGAAAATAGTATGGGGATTCCTTAAAGAACTAAAAGTAGAACTACAATTTGATCCAGCAGTCCCACTACTGGGTATCTACCCAGAGGAAAATAAGTTATTATATGAAAAAACACACTTGCACACACGTTTATAGCAGCACAATTCTCAATTGCAAAAACATGAAAGCAACCAACAAGTGGATAAAGAAAATGTGAGATACATACATACACACACACACACACACACACACACACACACACCATGGAATACTACTGAGCCATAAAAAGGAATGAAATAATGGCATTTGTAGCAACCTGGATGGAGTTGGAGACCATTATTCTAAATGAAGTAACTCGGAAATGGAAAACCAAAAGTCACATGTTTTCATTTATAAGTGGAAGCTAAGCTATGAGGACCCAAACACCTAAGAATAAAATAATGGATTCTGGGGACTCAGGGTGAAGCGTGGGAGGGGGGTAAGGGATAAAAGACTACAAATAGGGTGCAGTGTACACTGCTCAGGTGTACCAAAATCTCAGAATCACCACTGAAGAACTTTTCCATGCAACCAAACACCACCTGTTCCCCAAAAAAAACTATTGAAATTAATTAAATAAATAAATAAATAAATACCTATAGAAGCCCTAAAAACTAAAAGGTTACAAGACTACTACTTCCCATATATACAATGTTAACACATAAAATCGGTATAAAGAAATTAATAAAGGTAATTTTTCTCAGAATGACCATTTTGATAAGTTTTTTCATATATCAAATTATTTCCAAAATATTTTTGGTACCACTGCTTGAGTACAGGCTTAATCTGCCTACTTGATAACCCAATATTATATATACAGGTAGGCAGATGAATGAAAAGAATGAAAAAAGAGGTAGATGAGAGATAGACATATAGATGAATAGGGGCTATATTTTAACTGCTCACATAATATTTCAAAGTCTATTTAAATGAAGATACGAGATTAATTAGAATGTTATCTATATTCCTCAAAAATGACTCTTCTTCTTGCAAAGGTAGATTATGGTATTCTAAAACTTAAAAGGACTACAGAAATCATCATGCCAACCACTTTCCAGATGAGGAAACTTAGGCTAAAAAGATAAAAGCCAGGATCACACAGTTGGTGAGTGCCAGAATGAAACCAGATCCTAAATGTCCTGCTATCTAGCAAAGCAGTTCTCTACAATACAATCCCACCTTCCTTGATAATACTAAGTTGCTTAGCAAACAAGATCTTCATAAATGTTGCAAGGATAAATTTCCTTTCAGTCTGCCCGAAGCAAATAACCACAATTTGCTTAGTATTAGTAAAACTCAGATCATCTAGGCATTGTCACCCCTTCAAGTTGCCCTCAGAGTGGGACAGTCAACTTGGAACAAAGTTTGACTTAACACAAGTTTCCCAGGTCTGAGAAATATGGCAAGAGGTGGGATTTATTGTTGTTGTTGCTTATCAAAACAGTGAGAAATGGCATGTTAATCAGCGAAGGACAAATTGTGGCTGTCATTTCCTTTTTCTCTAAAAGGTAAATATGTATAGACTGCAAATCATGTCCAGGAGAACTTATTTCTCACATCCCCATCCATCAGTTTGCTCTCAACTGCTCTCAACAAAGTGAGGAACCAGCTTTAAAATAGCTCTGAAATGGAAGGCTACTCTAGGTATGAAATATCCCATGGACCAAACCCAATAATCTCACTTCTCTTGAGTGCTCTCTTATTCTGACATCCAGCATGGTCACAAATAGCTTTTAAAACTGGACCAGGTACAGAAACCAGTCAAAGAAAATAAGAGGATAAAATTTGGAGAAGCCCGTCATGGATTTTAGCTTCCAAGCATATCACCAAAACTGTAATGTTCAACAACTTAAGCAGACATTCTCAGTGACTTCAGTTGACTTCAATGAATTCTGTTTCAGTCCATTTACCACAAAACAGTATGCCAAGGAAGGGACCCCACAGAGAGGAACTTCTCCTATCTAGTCATACCCTACCAACTCAGGTCTGAGGTCCTGATACTAAAAAGCTAAGTAACAAAGAAAATAATTTTTGTGCCTCTGAAGCCATTTTTCGAGGTGAGATGTTTCGCTCCTAGCCAAGCAAAGCTGCAGAATCTGTAGAATGTTGTCTTGCTCCCTCCTTGTCACCAGCCTGCCCTTTAACCCACCACTGAATGCCCTTTTTCTGCTCCAAGACAGCTATTGAATCACCACATTATACTCCCTGACCCTGCGGGGCCATGGTACAATATCAGAATGTCAAACTGGGTCTGAAAAGGGCTTTGTGTGGGATGAGACAAGACTCTAAGGATAGTAGAGCTGCTGAATCACTCAGGATCTGACCACAAATAGTGCTACGCTAAGCTTGCTGGGTAAAACTGCTGCCAGAAGCCCCTGTTAAATTTCTGGGCTAATTATGGAGGGTGGGAGGGTGACCTTGGAGGCAAGTTGTACTTAACACAGAGACCAGGAAGCCTAAGGGAAGAAACCCAAGTTGTACATCCTCATAAATACAATTTAAAATTCTCTAATTTAATAAAAGCATGCGATCCTACGACAAGGTAGTTTTCCTTAGGAGCAGGTGCACTGCAATTTTTTTTTTAATTTTCATATTAAATCTTCAGAGAGTTACACGGTAGATGGCAGCCTGGAAATACGCTGATGTATCCTGGCAGAATTTCAGACATAATGATTTTTTTTTCCTCTGTAAATCTTCCATCAGTGGGAAGGAAAGCCCTGCCAAAACTGAGAAACCCAAGCTGGAGGCAGCGAGGCTCCCACTCAGAGCACGGCGACATGCCAAGGCTTTCAAGGCCAAATCGGAAACAACCACGTTGAGTTCATTAAAACGACTGAATGATCAAAGTCATGCAAGCCTTCACAAAGGCAAAAATTAATCTGTTTAATACTTGGCTAAATTCTCAAGTGCTAAAGTAAATTTGAAACGAAATTCATCAAACTCCCCCTCTTCCTGTGGAAAAATCCTTTGAGTTCCTCAGAGTGCCCAGCAGATGGCAGAAGCGGTCTTTGTTTCAATCCATGGGCCTCAGCTACCGCGCCATGCCCAAAATTAACGGGAATAGGTACACCTGGGTATAGTTGTATATCTGAATGTGAAAATACACTTTCAGGATATCAGGAATTATATTCCAGTATGGCTAGGGTTATTCTCAGTTATCAATCTCGAGGGAGGAAACGTCCCCAGGAAGTGGTACCAAAAGATGACTCTTGCACATCAATGAAAAGGCCTGTGGAAGGACGACAGTCCAACTACTGGAACCCTGTTTTTATATCTCTCAGGAGCCTCCCACCATGCCCACCCCTCATCTCCCTCCCATTTCCTACTCCTTAAAGACTTGCATACACATTCCTGAGTCTTCAGCAACCTGTGTCCTCGCCACCCAGGTGAAGAAGCTGGGTATGTGCAGGATATTCCCTACTGCAACAATGCCTCCTCAGCCTGCCTCCTCTGCCCAGGTCAGCCTCCACAACCAGAGGTTCTGGGAATTAGGTTCCACTGTCCTGAGCATTATGAATATTGATTCCTGTTGGACAAACTGCAGCTAGTCTAGGATCTCAGATTCCTCCATTTCCCGGGAGGGCAACATATAAAATATTAATACATTTCATCATGAGAAACAAAACTCATTAAAACTACATACATATTCATGAAAATTCTTTCACTGTTTATTTCATGAAATGAAAACATTTTTTCCAACCAGATCAAGGGAGGGAAGAAAATGTTTTCTATAGGTCCAATTTTATACACTCTGGTATGAAATGAATCAATAGTAGCTAGGAGGAGAAAAATCAAAGATTTCCTTTTCAACAGCAATAAATCCAGTCAAATCCTATTTGGTATGGCACTTGCCATAGCTTGTAAAATCTGAAGTTGCTAAATTATGTATTTCAATAGTAATTCCTTACAAATTAATAGGAAGTGCTAAATTAGGACAAGTGGCCTCCAATTGGATCCAGATGCTCAATCCTAGACTAGGTAGAAAGTGTGAAAAATTAGGAACTGTACTGATTCTTTCTCTGAGTTTGTTGAAGGAGCCAAGTTCTTCCAGCATGGAATGTAAACACTTGGGAAGGTAGCCTAAGAGAAGCATGTGTTACGTGGCAGCCTGAGTCCCAGCTGTGTTTACACTGAGATTCCAAAATATCTGAGCCTGGAAGGACAGCTGTGGTGTAAGGAGGAACAGAGGAGCCTCCTGGGACAGAATGACCCCAAAGGGAAAGAGAGAAGCTGGTTCAAAACCAATGGGCCAGGGTTCAAGGGGTGGTGTGGTCATTAACAAAGCAGGGTGACCATCGCTCAGCTTATCCAGGAGACTCACATCCAAGTCCCAAGGGTGATGATGGAGAAAATGCTGAAACCTGTTGACATTATTGGCCCCCCTCATGCTGCTGGCTGTGTTGATGGTGGTGGAAACAATAAAAACAGCACTGGCCTTGGGCAGCCGTAGGGCTGACATCACCATCCTCAATCTTGGAGACTGGCAGCATCCACAGAGAGAGGGTGCCTTTGGGAGGCATCTGTGACACTGCTGCTGCATCTGCCATTCATGAAGAAGAGGCCCCAGCTGCAAATGAAGCCAGCATTTAATGACCCAGTATCAGAAGAAGAAAAATCACAGACCTCCTGCTGTGACAAAAACAACTAGTTCTCAGAGAACTGGCTGCGGTAGTGGAATAAAGACCCCCCAAAGATGCCCACGTCCTAAACCCCAGAAGCTGTGAGTGCATTACCTTACAGGGCAAAAGGGACATTGTAGATGTGATTAAGGACGTTGAGATGGGGACATTATCCTGGATTATGTGGTGGGCCCAAGACAATCAATCACAGGGTCCTTAGAAAAGGGAGGAAGGAGAGTCAGAATCAGAGAAGAAGATACAACAACAGAAGCAGTGGTCAGAGAGAGATACAAAGATGCTGCACTGCTGGCTTTAAAGATAAAGAAAGAGGCCTCAAGCTAAGAAATGTAGGAAGTCTTCAGAAGCTGGAAAAGGCAACGAAATGGGTTTTCCCGTGGAGCTTCCCAAGGCAGCATGGCTCTGCCGACCCATTTTAGACTTACAGCCCCCAGAACTATATAAGATAAGTGTGTGTGGTTTTAAGCCACTAAGACTGTGGTAATGTGTTACAGCAGAAATTGGAAAATAATACACTGGTGATATACTCTTTTGAGGGCTTTCAGAACCATTTGTGAGGATAAGGAGGCTCAAATTCCCACAGTACAAGGGGAAACAGAGCCAGAATGTGTGGGGGCGTTCTCCTCCACAGTTTGTGCGTGTGGGGGAGGCAGGTTAGTGTAGGGTAGACTAGGTCCATGGGTCTGCTTTATGGACCAAGCTCTCACGTTGAACCTTCATTCAAATCAGCAGCATCTGTTTTCTACAACACACATCACTTTGCTCTCCTTCCATATCTTCAAGAACTTCTAAGAGGCAAGTTGTGCCATAAGTACTTCAAAGGATACTACGTGTCCCATGTCTTTTTTTTTTTCTGTGAGACGGAGTCTTGCTCTGTTGCTCAGGCTGGAGTGCAATGACCCAATCTCCACACACTACAACCTCCATCTCCCAAGTTCAAGCAATTCTCCTGCCTCAGCCTCCCGAGTAGCATGCACCATCATATCCAGCTAATTTTTATATTTTCAGTAGAGACAGGGTTTTGCCATGTTGGCCAGGCTGGTCTTGAACTCCTGATCTCAGGTGATCTGCCCATCTCAGCCTCCCAAAGTGCTGGGATTATAGGCATGAGCTGCTGCTCCTTATCCCAAGTCATTTAATATCCTAAGGCCAAAGCTCATCCTTAACTTTTGGAGACTAATTACTCAAAATTTCTCAATCATTTTCTCTAGATTTTAGTTCAGTCCTTAAAATCATTCTGCTGATGGAAAAACTGGAAACTCTAAAAAGCAGAACACCTCTCCTCCTCCAAAGGAACGCAGTTCCTCACCAGCAACGGAACAAAGCTGGATGGAAAATGACTTTGACGAGTTGAGAGAAGAAGGCTTCAGACGATCAAACTACTCCGAGCTACAGGAGGAAATTAAAACCAAAGGCAAAGAAGTTAAAAACTTTGAAAAAAATTTAGACGAATGTATAACTAGAATAACCAATACAGAGAAGTGCTTAAAGGAGGTGATGCAGCTGAAAGCCAAGGCTCGAGAACTACGTGAAGAATGCAGAAGCCTCAGGAGCCGATGGAATCAACTGGAAGAAAGGGTATCAGTGATGGAAGATGAAATGAATGAAATGAAGCGAGAAGGGAAGTTTAGAGAAAAAAGAATAAAAAGAAACGAACAAAGCCTCCAAGAAATACGGGACTATGTGAAAAGACCAAATCTACGTCTGATTGGTGTACCTGAAAGTGACGGTGAGAATGCAACCAGGTTGGAAAACACTCTGCAGGATATCATCCAGGAGAACTTCCCCAATCTAGCAAGGCAGGCCAACATTCAGATTCAGGAAATACAGAGAATGCCACAAAGATACTCCTCAAGAAGAGCATCTCCAAGACACATAATTGTCAGATTCACCAAAGTTGAAATGAAGGAAAAAATGTTAAGGGCAGCCAGAGAGAAAGGTCGGGTTACCCACAAAGGGAAGCCCATCAGACTAATAGCGGATCTCTCAGCAGAAACTCTACAAGCCAGAAGAGAGTGGGGACCAATATTCAACATTCTTAAAGAAAAGAATTTTCAACTCAGAATTTCATATCCAGCCAAACTAAGCTTCATAAGTGAAGGAGAAATAAAATCCTCTACAGACAAGCAAATGCTGAGAGATTTTGTCACCACCAGGCCTGCCCTAAAAGAGCTCCTGAAGGAAGCACTAAACATGGAAAGGAACAACCGGTACCAGCCACTGCAAAATCATGCCAAATTGTAAAGACCATCGAGGCTAGGAAGAGACTGCATCAACTAACGAGCAAAATCACCAGCTAACATCATAATGACAGGATCAAATTCACACATAACAATATTAACTTTAAATGTAAATGGACTAAATGCTCCAATTAAAAGACACAGACTGGCAAATTGGATAAAGAGTCAAGACCCATCAGTGTGCTGTATTCAGGAAACCCATCTCACGTGCAGAGACACACATAGGCTCAAAACAAAAGGATGGAGGAAGATCTACCAAGCAAATGGAAAACAAAAAAAGGCAGGGGTTGCAATCCTAGTCTCGGATAAAACAGACTTTAAACCAACAAAGATCAGAAGAGACAAAGAAGGCCATTACATAATGGTAAAGGGATCAATTCAACAAGAAGAGCTAACTATCCTAAATATATATGCACCCAATACAGGAGCACCCAGATTCATAAAGCAAGTCCTTAGTGACCTACAAAGAGACTTAGACTCCCACACAATAATAATGGGAGACTTTAACACCCCACTGTCAACATTAGACAGATCAACGAGACAGAAAGTTAACAAGGATACCCAGGAATTGAACTCAGCTCTGCACCAAGCAGACCTAATAGACATCTACAGAACTCTCCACCCCAAATCAACAGAATATACATTCTTTTCAGCACCACACCACACCTATTCCAAAACTGACCACATAGTTGGAAGTAAAGCTCTCCTCAGCAAATGTAAAAGAACAGATATTAAAACAAACTGTCTCTCAGACCACAGTGCAATCAAACTAGAACTCAGGATTAAGAAACTCACTCAAAACCACTCAACTACATGGAAAGTGAACAACCTGCTCCTGAATGACTACTGGGTACATAACGAAATGACGGCAGAAATAAAGATGTTCTTTGAAACCAACGAGAACAAAGACACAACATACCAGAATCTCTGGGACACATTCAAAGCAGTGTGTACAGGGAAATTCATAGCATTAAATGCCCACAAGAGAAAGCAGGAAAGATCCAAAATTGACACCCTAACATCACAATTAAAAGAACTAGAAAAGCAAGAACAAACACATTCAAAAGCTAGCAGAAGGCAAGAAATAAGTAAAATCAGAGCAGAACTGAAGGAAATAGAGACACAAAAAACCCTTCAAAAAATTAATGAATCCAGGAGCTGGTTTTTTGAAAGGATCAACAATATCAATAGACTGCTAGAAAGACTAATAAAGAAGAAAAGAGAGAAGAATCAAATAGACACAACAAAAAATGATAAAGGAGATATCACCACCGATCCCACAGAAATACAAACTACCATCAGAGAATACTACAAACACCTCTATGCAAATAAACTAGAAAATCTAGAAGAAATGGATAAATTCCTCGACACATACACTCTCCCACGACTAAACCAGGAAGAAGTTGAATCTCTGAATAGACCAATAACAGGTTCTGAAATTGTGGCAATAATCAATAGCTTACCAACCAAAAAAAGTCCAGGACCAGATGGATTCACAGGCGAATTCTACCAGAGGTACAAGGAGGAACTGGTACCATTCCTTCTGAAACTATTCCAATCAATGGAAAAAGAGGGAATCCCCCCTAACTCATTTTATGAGGCCAGCATCATCCTGATATCAAAGCCAGGCAGAGACACAACCAAAAAAGAGAATTTTAGACCAATATCCTTGATGAACATTGATGCAAAAATCCTCAATAAAATACTGACAAAACGAATCCAGCAGCACATCAAAAAGCTTATCCACCATGATCAAGTGGGCTTCATCCCTGGGATGCAAGGCTGGTTCAATATACGCAAATCAATAAATGTAATCCAGCATATAAACAGAACCAAAGACAAAAACCACATGATTATCTCAATAGATGCAGAAAAGGCCTTTGACAAAATTCAACAACACTTCATGCTAAAAACTCTCAAGAAATTAGGTATTGATGGGATGTATCTCAAAATAATAAGAGCTACCTATGACAAACCCACAGCCAATATCATACTGAATGGGCAAAAACTGGAAGCATTCCCTTTGAAAACTGGCACAAGACAGGGATGCCCTCTCTCACCACTCCTATTCAACATAGTGTTGGAAGTTCTGGCCAGGGCAATCAGGCAGGAGAAGGAAATAAAGGGTATTCAATTAGGAAAAGAGGAAGTCAAATTGTCCCTGTTTGCAGATGACATGATTGTATATCTAGAAAACCCCATCATCTCAGCCCAAAATCTCCTTAAGCTGATAAGCAACTTCAGCAAACTCTCAGGATACAAAATCAATGTGCAAAAATCACAAGCATTCTTATACACCAATAACAGACAAACAGAGAGTCAAATCATGAGTGAACTCCCATTCACAATTGCTTCAAAGAGAATAAAATACCTAGGAATCCAACTTACAAGGGACGTGAAGGACCTCTTCAAGGAGAACTACAAACCACTGCTCAATGAAATAAAAGAGGATACAAACAAATGGAAGAACAGTCCATGCTCATGGGTAGGAAGAATCAATATCATGAAAATGGCCATACTGCCCAAGGTAATTTATAGATTCAATGCCATCCCCATCAAGCTACCAATGACTTTCTTCACAGAATTGAAAAAACTACTTTAAAGTTCATATGGAACCAAAAAAGAGCCCGCATCGCCAAGTCAATCCTAAGCCAAAAGAACAAAGCTGGAGGCATCCACGCTACCTGACTTCAAACTATACTACAAGGCTACAGTAACCAAAACAGCGTGGTACTGGTACCAAAACAGAGATATAGATCAATGGAACAGAACAGAGCCCTCAGAAATAATGCCGCTTATCTACAACTATCTGATCTTTGACAAACCTGAGAAAAACAAGCAATGGGGAAAGGATTCCCTATTTAATAAATGGTGCTGGGAAAACTGGCTAGCCATATGTAGAAAGCTGAAACTGGATCCATTCCTTACACCTTATACAAAAATCAATTCAAGATGGATTAAAGACCTAAAACCATAAAAACCCTAGAAGAAAACCTAGGCAATACCATTCAGGACATAGGCATGGGCAAGGACTTCATGTCTAAAACACCAAAAGCAATGGCAACAAAAGCCAAAATTGACAAATGGGATCTAATTAAACTAAAGAGCTTCTGCACAGCAAAAGAAACTACCATCAGAGTGAACAGGCAACCTACAAAATGGGAGAAAATTTTTGCAACCTACTCATCTGACAAAGGGCTAATATCCAGAATCTATAATGAACTCAAACAAACTTACAAGAAAAAACAAACAACCCCATCAAAAAGTGGGTGAAGAACATGAACAGACACTTCTCAAAAGAAGACATTTATGCTGCCAAAAAACACATGAAAAAATGCTCACCATCACTGGCCATCAGAGAAATGCAAATCAAAACCACAATGAGATACCATCTCATACCAGTTAGAATGGCAATCATTAAAAAGTCAGGAAACAACAGGTGCTGGAGAGGATGTGGAGAAATAGGAACACTTGTACACTGTTGGTGGGACTGTAAACTAGTTCAACCATTGTAGAAGTCAGTGTGGGGATTCCTCAGGGATCTAGAACTAGAAATACCATTTGACCCAGCCATCCCATTACTGGGTATATACCCAAAGGACTATAAATCATGCTGCTATAAAGACACATGCACACATATGTTTACTGCGGCACTATTCACAATAGCAAAGACTTGGAACCAACCCAAATGTCCAACAATGATAGATTGGATTAAGAAAATGTGGCACATATACACCATGGAATACTATGCAGCCATAAAAAATGATGAGTTCACGTCCTTTGTAGGGACATGGATGAAATTGGAAATCATCATTCTCAGTAAACTATCGCAAGGACAAAAAATCAAACACTGCATGTTCTCACTCATAGGTGGAAACTGAACAATGAGAACACATGGACACAGGAAGGGTAACATCACACTCTGGGGACTGTTGTGGGGTGGGGGGAGGGGGGAGGGATAGCATTAGGAGATATACCTAATGTAAATGATGAGTTGATGGGTGCAGCACACCAGCATGGCACATGTATGCATATGTAACTAACCTGCACATTTTGCACATGTACCCTAAAACTTAAAGTATAATAATAATAATAAAATAAAATAAAATAAACTTTAAAAAAATCATTCTGCTGATGAGATATTCTGGAAATGTCTTCAGAGCTTTGCCCTATGACTACAAAAGAAATCCAGCCCACCCACCTGAGGTTCAAGGCTTTCTTTTCAGCCAGGTCATCATTAAAGATGGGAGACTATTTTTCAGGGCCTAAAAAAGTATTTGTACTGGCAGTACTCAACCAGTACTTCCTGCCAAATGAATAATCTATTTCTTCTCAAAAATCAAATGTGTCCCAGATCTGAAAAACATATAGTCCCCCTGTTAGCCATCACAGTACATTTTATTTATATCCAACTATATTATCTCTGTTAACAATAGGGTTCAGGGAACACTGAAATGATTTCAATTAACAAATGATTTTCAAACTTCATTTGAAAGCTTTGATATCATTTTTTCTTAATCCTCATATAAGCACTATCAACAAGAAGGAAAAAAGTGATGAGTTTGTTCAAATTCCTTTTATTATTTTTCCTGACCACCTTTTGGCAGGGAAGTTAATGAGCAGTCAAGTGATATAAAAGGACATAATAGTAGAGCAAAAGCAAAGTACACACTTGACCATGATATTCAAGACTGAGAACAACCTGCCCAATGCTGCCTTCCAGCTAGACTTGTCCTCTGAACAAGTTACACAACCTTGAACAAGTCACAAACTTTCTGGGCTTCCATCTCATCAACTCTCTGTTATAATACATCCACATTTGTTTTAATATTAAACATTTAATTTATCTGCCAGTTAAATTATTTAATATTCCTTCTTCATATTTTCCAGTTGAAACTGGCATTGGAGGGAGTGCTCCCCGTTTATACTGTGGGGACAACTCTTCCACCAGGGAGGTGAGTGCCCTAGTTTGAAAAGCCTGGGCCTGTATACTTTCTCATACTCCACATGTACTAATACGCTGTACATTCCCATCCATCTTCCTTGCTTTGGTTCGCTCCATTTTTTTTCATTCTACTTCCTTCACCATTTGAAAGTGCCCTCTGCTTCCACCAATTTTCTCACATTTTAGGCCCAGCTTATCTCTCACCTCCTCCATAAGGCCCACCCTGACCGTAACTTCTTCTTCAAATTCATGGCGCTCATTCTTTGTAGCATTCAGTTGGAATTTAACTATATCTTTCTTGTGATGCCTTTTACTGTTACTTAACTCTTGTGTTATTTCACTTGTTTTTACATGCACCTGATCTTCCAGCCATGTCATAAACTTGTTAGAGATCAGAAACCATATAAACTTCGTTTTACACGACCCACAGCACCTAGACCTGTGCCTTGCATATGAGAAGTACTCATTCACTTAATTATTTATCCATTCAGTGTGTATTTATTAAACTGTGCACCAATTCATAACTGTCGAGTGAATGAGGAGCAAAATAACTCATGTGATCTAAAAACTGAATAATTGGATCCTTAATAAATAAGAATTTATCCTTCTCATTTCATATTTACTCTGTTAAAATTGTAGGATGATTTCTCCATTGGCAAATTTAAACTGCAGATATTCTGAGCAGGTTTCAAATACAGGAATGGCTGTGCATGTCCTTGTAATTACAATTGACACAAAGTGCTACATGTTAAGTGCCTAGAAGAACAGATTTTGTACACTTTATAAACTACAGAAATTCCCAAGACTGACAGAGCGAAAATAATACTCCCTACACGTGCTCAATTGGTAAACTGCTTGTTAAATGATGACAAAATTGCTTTTATTTAATCAAACCGTCTTCACAAAACATAGGTCAGTTCCTTTGGGGACAATGAAGTAGATGCCCTTGCTTACTGTGCAGCCAGAATGAATGGCTACTTGCCACTTCTACCATAAACCTCAAATTTCAAGTATTTAACTAAATACCTTCAAATAATTAACTAATGAAAATCTGATTAAGCTGAAAGTTACCATCAAATTATTAAATCAGATGCTACTTTAATACAAATCAAAATGGATTACATTCATTAAATAAATTGTGTGCCTAAGGACGGATGTCCGAAAATAGTCCAAAAGGGGATTCCCGTATTCCCGGATTCCCGTAGTCTGACTACCTAAGACAACTCTATTTCAAAAATAAACACATTTACTTCATTGTATGGACTGCTGCCTTTTGCTGTTTTACCTACATGGAACCTGGCAAATTATTTCGCTGTAGAATGTAACGATGTGAGAGGTTCTGAGTGGTGAGTGTAATTACAGAACTTTGGTCAAGCGCCCTCTGGTGGTCAGATAAATATTTTTTTCTACCATAAAGTTTTGCTGAAAAGCTAGTCAAAGTTTATTATCGGTAATTACCAAAAATAAATCACTATATAAATAGTACATCATCAAACCTTAATTCTGTGGAATATTGAGCCACCTGAGTAAAAATCTGAATCACATCAATATAGGTCCAAATCTCAGCTGTAGCTTTTTTTTTATTGCCACTTTCTTTACCTTAGGCAGGTTAACTTAAACTCTGTGGGGCTCCAGTTTTCTCATTCATATCAAAAGTTGATTTAAGGAATAAGTGAAAGAAAGGCATAAAGGAAATAAAAATAATTCCCTGGATATAACAGGTATCAATAAATGATACCAACAATTCCTATCGTTATCCTTAATAGCAATATGCACTTGTCTGCATCGAATGCTTATTACATGCCAAAAGCATTATGTTCTTTACTGATGTTACCTCGATCCTCATAAGAACCATATCAAGTTGGCATTATTATCTACCAGTTTAAAAATTAAGAAGCTGACAATAAGAAAGTTAAATGATTGGTTGAGAGTCACAGGGTGAGTAACAGAGCCAGGATTCAAACTTGCCTGTGGAATGCCAAGGTCAAGGCCTTCCTCGCCATGATATACTGCTATTATCACAAATGATGACAACAACAGTGATGGGGATCACAATGAGAAAAAGTATTTCATAGGATTCCCCTAATAAAAATAACTTTTCCTTGGCACAAAGGTCCTTTGAGATTCCATGTGAACATTTCTCTGTTTTGTTTTTTCTTACCCCTGTGTACATACGGCATAATGAAAAGCTACCCATTCTCTGTTATATAAAGGATGCCAGCCCAGGCACGGCGGTTCACGCCTGTAATCTCAGCACTTTGGGAGGCAGAGGCAGATGGATCACCTCAGGTCAGGAGTTTGAGACCAGCCTGGTCAACATGGCGAAACGCCGTCTCTACTAAAAGTACAAAAAATTAGCCAGGCGTGGTGACAGGCACCTGTAATCCCAGCTACTTGGGAGGCTGAGTCAGGAGAATTGCTTGAACGCAGGAGGCAGAGGTTGCAGTGAGCCAAGATTGTACCACTGCATTCCAGCCTGGGCAACAGAGCAAGACTCTGTCTCAAAAAAAAAAAAAAAAAGGATGCCAACACTCTATTCCTTTGACAAGTGTTATTACCTCCAGATAGTCTCCTCCTGGTGGAATACCTGAGATGGCTCATATACTTTTCCATTAGAATTTCTCAGGAATATAATTCACTTAGGCATGCATTTGTTTTCAAGTCAATCTGTTACCAAGAGTAACTCAGAGGGCTCCATATTGTGCATTCTGTTTGCTTCCTTTAATTAAAATCACATACAAGTATAATAAAATAAAATAGTAAGACATTATATTTAATATTGTGTTACAAAAATATGTTCATTGTCATAGCTTTAAGAAAGTAGAAATCGGCCAGGCACGGGGGCTCATGCCTGTAATTCTAGCACTTTGGGAGGCCGAGGCTGGCAGATCACAAGGTCAGGAGATCGAGACCATCCTGGCTAACACAGTGAAACCCCATCTCTACTAAACATACAAAAAATTAGCCAGGCATGGTGACGGGCGCCTGTAGTCCCAGATATTCTGGAGGCTGAGGGGAGAGAATGGCGTGAACCCGGGAGGTGGAGCTTGCTATGAGCCGAGATCACACCACTGCGCTCTAGCCTGGGCAACAGAGCGAGACTCTGTCAAAAAAAAAAAAAGAAAGAAAGGAAAGAAAGAAAGGAAAGGAAGAAATAATCAAAAAGAAAGGATAAAAGTTCACCATAGTATTATTGCTCACAGGAATGTTATTAATAGTCATGCCATATGTCCTTCAGTCTTTTCTCTATGCAAATTCCTTTTTAAAATAAGATTATGCTAACAAACTGTTTTTAAGCTTAATTTTTATTTCATATCAGGTGATATGCACTTGTTGTGACATCTTTGGGTGTTGGTCTCCATCTTTACAGTCCAGAAAAGATTGTTATCCAGATGCCTTAAAGCCCCTCAAGCATTTCCAATTGGAAAATGAATAGTTCTGAAAGTAAAGGTGCAGACTGAAAACTTGTGCAGTCCAACCTCAACTTTGCTGTAAACAAATTTTTTCTTTGTCTTTAAACATCTTTATCCCATCAAATCTTTAATCATTCAATTAAAACATAACCGAACACCAATTATGCACAAAGTCCTGTGCCAGGCATTTAGGGGGCACCAATGCAAATCAGATACATCATTACAGTTATGTTTGAGGGAGCCAGGTGCTAAACTTCATAAAGGCATTCTGTCTGGGGTTGAGATTAAAATGTAAATATATTTCAGGACTACGGAGGTAAGGCTAGACAACCCTCCTTCACCGTATCTATTGCATTCTCCAGTTTTCGGGGAGGTTGAGAGGCTTCCTGGGGAGAAAGTTGAAAACTGCAAGTGGCGTTCGGAAATACATAAACTTGTGGGAACTCCGAAGTGGAGCAGGGAGATCCAACAGATTCAAACTGTAAAGTGTCCCATTTCAGGACCTCTGAAAAAAAATCATCCTAAAGAATCCAGACTCCTCCACGGGGTTAATACACAGAAGGGAGCACTGGTTTCAAGATGCAGAAATGGCTACTGTTGCTTGATCCTGGCCTAACCCAGCCTCATGGAGGAGTCCAGGTACCCCTAGGCGTGTGAAACTGCAGAGCTCTCATTAAACTACGCAAGGCCCAGCAATTTTACTTGGAGACCCCTCTAACAGATCATGGTACTGAAGAAAGAAAGAGTGTGTCCCTGTACTTTCGGGAAAGTTAGAACCATTACAGCTCTGAGCAAATTGACAGTGGCTGGGGTCATTGGTAAAGATCTGTACCCAAGAGAGCACCAATAACAGCAACTGTGGTGGCAGCATCTAGCTCAGGGTGCCAAAAACAAGGCCACAAAACAACTTTCGCAAATATAAGATATAGTCCTGGGAACTCAGGAAAATACAAGTGGGCAGAGAGCCTGCAGGCACGCAGGTATGAGGCTAAAAAGCCTGTTCAAGGGTTGCAAACTCAAACACCTGTGGACCAAACTTGTATCCTAAATAAGCAATATGGACTGGGTGGTGCCTGAAGTAAATTGGCAAGTGCTTCTCAGCTCTAGCTGACCAAGGCTATGCCAGCCCAGGAAAAACACTGGCCATATCAGCAACAGCATCAGGGTAGGAAGAATTTGGGGCCAGGCTGAAACGAGAGAGGTGTTTACTTAGAAGCAACGTAGCCAGGCTAGAATACCATAATCACCACCATAATAATGCAAAGCAGCAGCTGAGGAAATGGAGTGAAGCATCAATTGTCAACAAAGAGGCAAGAAACAGTAAATCAACACAGGCAGTTATGTGATGGGATGTTCACCAGTGTCTCTTTCATACCTCATTTTTGCCTTGTCACCATTGCCCATAGGAGCGTCAGGCCAGGAGACCTCCATGGACCCAGTGAGAAGTGGAACTAGAAAGATAAAATATCCAACTCTTGGGTTTTGAGTACAAAAGACAGAGCAAGTAGCCAATGGAGAAGTTAAGAGCAGGTGATCTGCACCTGAACAGCTGTGAGCAACAACCGAAGCCACAGTCACTGGCAGGCAGAACAGGTGAGCTTAGGCAATGTATGAGGCAACATGCGATATTAACCTTCACAGAGTGTAAAATGAGGGAACAAACAAACAGCCACACTCAAAATGTCTCATTGAGAAATCTGATATTGGGTCTGATGTCATTGCTTAATATCTTAAGTTTGGTATCTCTAAAAATATCAATATGTAATAAAATATTGGCTTCAGTCTCCATCAAGAATTTAGTGATACATGCTTTCCCTAATAAGGAAGAGTTGCCTATCAAGGTTCTGGGGCAAAGGGATGAGTGATGAGATCCAGGGTGCCTCAACAGAGGCCATGACCACAGCACCAAGAGAGTGGCTCGCTTGGGGTACTACATTAGGGTTCAAGGCCTGCTGGCTAAGCTGAAGAAGTGCAAGAGCAGAAAAGGGGTAGGTAGTACCATCCAATTGAAACTGAAGGAGGTTTGTCTAATTCGGCACATGCATATATAGCTAGTCACTTGTACATCATCCAAACTCTCCCAGAAATCAGTTCAGCAAGTCATGAACACCCGGCTCGTGCTCCCTTGTGAAGCCCTAATGGATTAGTGTGACGGTCAGCAGCATAGCAGGGTGGGCACAATTGGACAAAGATCATAAGCATGTCATGATACTTCCCTTTGTCCACATCTCTATGTTCTATTTTCCCTTCATTAAATTCTATTTTGTCCTCTGAGGTTTTAAAAATGCTAACAAATAATTGTTTTCTAGAGAAATAAAAAAAAACCTATGATTATTTCAATGATTAAAACGTACACTGAACATTATTGCAATTCAAGGAGTATAAATCTCAGATAGATGTGGGGTCATGCACCAGACCTAACCACATCAACCATTAGAACAGCCACAGAGAACGCCAAGAAGTTAAGACATTCAGCAAGTAAACCTCTAATTAACATCAATTGTCAGCAATATATTGATATGTCATGAAAATATCTCTATAGAGACAGTGCTATGATGACCTCATTTGACTCTGATTCAGTTAGCACTCCCATTTCCAATCATGTGTCTGATATTAAACAGTATAAGAAACCATAGAAATGATCAGCCCACTGGCCTAGTAATATCCCCCCATAAGAAATTTATCTTGGGAAAATAACCCAAATGAAAGAAAAAGTAATATGCATGAAATGCTAACAAATAATTGTTTTCCAGAGGAAGTTTAAAAACCTATAATTATTTCAATGATTAAAATGTACACTGAACATTACTGCAATTCAAGGAGTATAAATCTCAGATAGATGTGGGGTCATGCACCAGACCTAACCACATTAACCATTAGAACAACCATAGAGAACGCCAAGAAGTTAAGACATTCGGCAAGTAAACCTCTAATTAACATCAATTGTCAGCAATATATTGATATGTCATGAAAATACTCTATAGAGACAGTGCTGTAATGACCTCATTTGGCTCTGATTCAGTCAGCACTCCCAATTCTAACCATGTGTCTGATATTAAACAGTATAAGAAACCATAGAAATGATCAGCCCACTGGCCTAGTAATTTCCCCCCACAAGAAATTTATCTTGGGAAAATAACTCAAATGATAGAAAAAGTAATATGCATGAAAATGTTCTTTGAAAGTGATTTGTGCAAGTATTATGTCTAACAGTAGGACAATGGGTAAGTAAATTATAACACATCTACTCAAATGATCATTATAAAGATTATATAGTATGGAAACATGCTTATAATGCTAATCTTAAAAAAAGTTAAGTTATATGTACACTAAAACTACAACAAGCAAAAGCAAAAGACATCCACAAGAATAAAGGTAGGAATATGCAAAAATAATGTTACATTATGGCATGTTTCCACACTTTTAAGAATGTTTACATATTAATAATTTTTGAAGGTGGGAGGAAAAATAACTAATGGATAAGCACACTATCCTGAGCCCAAGTCAATGACTGAGGATTTTAAATCACACACAATATAGAGATTTTTATCGAAAATGCTCCTGATTTTTCTTTGATGCTATATAAATGGCATTCTTATAATTAGACTTCTATCTCTTCCTTTTGCAAATTAAAAAATAATCATAAAGTAATAAAGAAATGCAATGCAGCACAGTGGTTAAGAGCTTAGAAGCTGGGCTGTGATTTCCTGAGTTTGAATCCTGGCTAGTTGCTCTGAGCAAGCATTTAATTTGTTTTAGGCTTTGGTTTCCTTGAGTATAAACTGGAGATAAATTATAGTGCCTACTTTATAAGGTTGTTATGAGAAACAAGTAAAATAATGCATGTAAAGTAATTTACATAGTGCCTGGAAAACAGTAAGGGTTAGTAAATATTAGCTGCTGTGATGGTCATGATGATAGATGATGACAAATGCATTGAAATGGTGGACCCGGGTGGAACAAGTCACTCCTGCAAGATGCAGCTGCCCAGAGACCACAGCTAGGAAAGGTGTTTCCAAGTCTTTGTATGAATGGCTTGTCTCTGATGACATTTAAATCTTATAACACTAGAGTAGGTGGTGGCCATCATCCCTAAATGCATATTGATACAGTTTGGGTATTTGTCCCCCCAAATGTCATGTTGAAATGTACTTCTATTAAAATTTCAATGACAGTTTTTGCAGAATTTTTTTTAAATTCTAAAATTCATATGGGATTTCAAGGGACCTTGAATAGTCAAAACAATCTTGAAAATGAAGAACAAAGCTGGAGGATTCACACTTTCTAATATCAAAACTTACTACAAAGCTACAGTAATCAAAACAGTGTGGCACTGGCATAAAGGCAGGCATATAAACCCTCACATACTTGGTCAAATGATTTTTTTAACAAGGGTGCTCTGAGAGGAAAAACACTTGATTTTTTACTCTACTCACAACACAGATCACTTCTGTGAGCTCTAGTCACCAAAATGTGGGTAGGGATTTCTCCCTACAAGCAACCAAGTCTTTGGCAGATTCTTTATGGCACACCAGCTCGGTGTCCCCCAGCTCAATTCAATTCTGACACTATCTAGCTGGAGATAGCATCAGATACCACAAGTTGAGGGCTCAGTTCCACAAGAGTGCCCTCATTTCAGACACAAGTAATAGATTGTCACCTATACTTCTGACCAATAGACTATAAATTGGAGTTCCCATGACCCATGTCCCAAGTTTGATTAATTTGCCAGGATGGCTCACAGAACTCAGGAAAACATGTTTACTAGTTTATTATAAAGGACAGTGCAAAGGATGTGATGGACACCTGATGAAGAGATACATAAGGAAAGGCGGGGGGAAGGGGTACAGAACTTCCATGCCCTTTCTGGGGCACCGCCCTCCAGGAACCTCCTCATGTTCAGTTATCAGGAAGCTCCCCCGATTCAGTTTCTTTTGGAATTTTATAGAGGCTTCATTTAATAGACTTGATTGACTAAATTATTGGCCATTGGTGATCAACTTAACCTGCAGCCCCTTTCCTCTCCCTGAGGGTTGGGAGATGAGGCAAATGTTCCAATCCTCTAATCATGCCTTGGTCCTTCTGGTGACCAGCCCCCATCCTAAAACTACCTAGGGACTTCCAGTCATCAGTCTATGCACGGGGATACAAAAAGACACACCACTTTGGAGATTCCAAGGATTTTAGGAGTTGTATGCCAGGAAATAAGGATGAAAACCTAATACTGTATTTATTTCTTGTTATAAATCACAATATCACAGGTGCCAAGGCCATTCTATAGGGAAAGGACAGTCTTTTCAGCACATGGTAGTAGGAAAACTGGATATCCTCATGCAAAATAATGAAGTTGAACCCTTACCAAACACCGTACAGAAAACTTAACTCAAAATGAATCAAATACCTAAATGTGAGACCTAAAACTATGATGTTCTTAGAAGAAGACATAAGGAAAAGCTTTACATTAGATTTGACAATAATTTATCGGATATGGCACCAAAGGCACAGGCAACAGAAGAAAAAATAGATAAATTTAACTTCATGAAAATTGAAAAATGTTTAAGCATCAAAAACATTGTCAGAGTAAAAAGGGAACTCACGGAAAGGGAGAAAATATTTGCAAATTCTATATCTGACAAGGGATTAATATCCAGTGTATAGAGAACTCCTAAAACTCAACAACAAAAACAATTCAAAAATGGATGAGGGATTTGAGCAGACATTTATTCAAAGAAGTTACACAAATGGCCAATAAGCATATAAGATGCTCAATACCACTTATCTTTAGGGAAATGCAAATTAAAACTAAAGTGAGATGCCACCTCACACTCATTAAAATGGCTACTCTAAAAAAAAAGAATAGCAAGTGTTGGCAAGGATGTGGAATAATCAGCACTTTGGTGCACTATTGGTGGAAATGTAAAATAGTGGAGCCTCTGTGGAAAACAAATGGCAATTCCTCAGAAATTTAAAAAGAATTACCATATATTCAGCAGTTCCTTTTCTGGATATATATCCCCAAAAGATTTGAAAGCAGAACTCCAACATGTATTTGTGCACTCATGTTGATAGCAGCATTATTCACAATAGCTAAAACATGGCAATAACCCAAGTGTTCATTGATGAATGAATGGATAAGCAAAACGTGGTATGTACATACAATGAAATACTATTCCGGCTTAAAAAGGGAGAAAATTCTGACATATGCTATAACATGGATGAAACCTGAGCTAAGGGAAATAAGCAAGTCACAAAAAGAAAAGTATTGCATGGTTCCATTTAGTGTTCTTAGAGTAGTTAAAATCATAGAGGCAGAAAGTAGAAGGGTGGTTACCGGGGTAATGGGGATTTACTGGAAACAATTTAATGGATTGGATGAATGTTTAATGGATATAATTTCAGCCTTACACGCTGATAAGAGTTCCAAAGATAGTGGTGATAGTTGCACAACGTTATAAATGTATTTAATACCACTGAATTGTACACTTTAAAATAGTTAAGATGGTAAATTTAATGTTATGTGTATTTCACCACTTTTTTTTAAATAAGGGGAAACAACTAAACATGCAACTACCACTTGACCCAGCATTAACTGCTGGGCATTTATCCCAGAAAATTGAAAATCTGTTCACATAAAAACCTGTACACAAATGTTTATAGCTTTATTCTTCATAGTCTCAAACTGAAAACAAAACAATCATGGTATAGCCATACCATGGAATACTACCCATCACTAGAAAGGAACAAACTTTTGATATGTGAAACAACCTGGATGAATCTCCAGAGAAATACACTGAGTGAAAAAAGGCCAATATCAAAAGGTACACATACCATATGATTACATTTACGTAACATTCCTGAAATGATAAAATTCTAGAAATGGAGGACAGATTTGTGGTTGCCAGTGGTTAAAGAATGGATGGGGCAAGAGGAAGGTAAGTGTGGCTGTAAAAGAGCAACATGAGGAATCCTTTTAGTGATAGAAATGTTCTATATCTTCACCATATTAATGTCAACATCCTGGTTGTAATCATTGCTCTATAATTTTGCAATTGGAAACTGGGAGAACTACTGGGAGAAACTGGGCTAAGAGTACAAGCGATCTCTGTATTATTTCTTACAATTGCATGTGAACATACAATTACCTGAAAATTAAAAGCCTAATTAATAATAATAATACTGTATTGTTTATGGATATGCAGAAGCCATATTGTTTTGCAGTACACGCATATGTACACCAAGATAAAAGATAAAAATACGCATAGGAATGCAGAAAATGAAATTTAACATAGTGGCTACCTCTAGGAAGAGAACAGAGGAAAAAATTACACAGGAGTTTCAGTTATAAACGTAATGTTTTATTTCATTATAATAAAAATCTAAAGTCACTATGATAAAATATTAAGATTTGACTAAGCCAGAAGATAAGTAGAAAGATATTCATTATATTATTCTCTCTAGTACTCTGTATTCTAGTGGTATACCAAGGATGGGGCCATGGGATTAGTCTGCCATGAGTATAGTCAACAAAGGGCTGTATTTTTTTGTACAGAAGTTTAAAACAATGGTAAAACAAACTAGAAGTTGGCCTGTTTTGTAATATCCCCTTGAGCTGGCAATTTTAATATCAGTGATAAAAGATTTTTCCCAGCTGTGCAAACAACTTCCACCAGTCCCAGTCCTTAACTGGTAAGCAAATTGCTGTATCCTTAAAATATTTCCTAATTTGTACAGATTCAGCCCATTAATATAAATATTCTTTATAAATACTAGTACACAATGATATCCATAAGGATCATTTTGAAATATGTTAATATCTCAAATTATCAAAGGAAGTACCTAGCATTATTACAATCTACTAAATAAATCAGGGGAAAGATATATTTTAGAAAAAATGTCTTACAATTATGGTTGACATTAAAAGCATCTGCAGTTTACCCCTCAGTTTAACTAGAAATACTGCAGTATACCACAAAGTTTTAATCACTCTAGTAAATCATGATGTTGTAATGACAGTGTGAGATTATATATTATGCAAGATTCGATTGCAAAGGCATCATAGATGGATGGCAAAAGTAGAAAGCCCTTAAAGAAAAACCCTTGAGTTACTCCGCCCTTATGAATGAATACATAAGGCTCCTATAAAAGGGCTTGGAGGGAGTTTGTCTTTTATTGCCCTTCCACATTCCACCACGTGAGGACACAATGTTCCTTTTCTCCAGAGGATGAAGCATCAATGTGCCATCCTGGAAGCAGAGAGCAGCCCTCACGAGACATGGAACCTGCCAGCACCTTGATCTTGGACTTCCCAGCCTCCAGAACTATAAGAAAATAATTTTTTTTTCTTTATAAATTACCCAGTCTCTGGTATTTTGTTAGAGCAACACAAAACAGACTAAGACAAGTCCTCTATTTACATAATTCCATGGTCACTCAAGTTTGAGATTCTGAAACAATAGGAACATCTGGATATCTGGGCCTACAAACCAATTTTCCATAAACATAACCATCAAACCCTTTGCTAGAATAAGGGGTGGGGAATGCTGCAAAGATTCTCAAACTTAAGCATACATCAAAATCACCCAAAGAGCTTTGTTAAAAAAACAAACAAACAAACAAAAAAAAAAACCTTTATCCAAATTAAATTTAAAGGAGTTACTTGAGCAAAGAACCAATTGTGAATCAGGCAGTCTCCTGAGCCAGAGTAGGCTCAGAGACTCCAGCGCAGCCACATAGTGGAAGACAGAAAAAGGAAAGTTAAATACAGAAAATAGAAGTGAGGTACAGAAACAGTCAGAAACTGTACCCACCAAGTTACAGAAACTGTAACCACCAAGCTGGTTACAGCTTGGTGTTTGCCTTATTTGAACATGGTTTGAGCAGTTGGCCACATTTGATTGGCCAAAACTCAGTGGTTGGCACGAGAGTAGGGTACGGTGGGTTTACAATTCCATTTAGGTTACAGTTCACGATGTCTAGAGAAGCCTTTAAACTGAACTTAAACTATGTAAGGAGGCAGCTTTAGGCTAAACTTGATTTAACAGCTTGTTAAAACCAGATTCTTAGAATCCACCACCATAGACCCTGATTCAATAAGCCTAAAAATTTGCATTTTGAATAACCTCTCAGATGATACTGATAATTTTTTTTTTTTTTTTTTTGAGACAGAGTCTTGCTCTGTCACCCAGGCTGGAGTGCAGTGGTGCAATCTCGGCTCACTGCAAGCTCCGCCTCCTGGGTTCAAGCCGATTCTCCTGCCTCAGCCTCCCGAGTAGCTGGGATTACAGGCACGTGCTGCCACACCTGGCTAATTTTTGTATTTTTAGTAGAGACAGGGTTTCACCATGTTGGCCAGGCTGGTCTCAAACTCCTGACCTCAGGTGATCCACCAACCTTGGCCTGCCAAAGTGCTGGGATTACAGGCATGAGCCAGTACACCCGGCCACCCTCATTACTTTTGTCCTTATGTTACCTTTGGAATCTAACCCTGGAATAGTATTAGGTTCTAAAGTTGAAGTAAGTGCCCAGAAGATGCCAGACCACAACAGGACCATTACCATACATTGAGTAAAAAAAATAAATTATATAGTATATAATAACATAGAACCATGTAGTTTATCACCCTGAATAGTTTAAGGTTCCTGCCTTTCAGAAAATTCAGGGAGCTTCCTGTATCTTCTCTCTACTAGATATATGTGAACTTAAGAAATTATTTGGTAAAGAAGGAATTTACAGAAACAATTGATTGCCAATTCAACTGCCTGGGACTGTTTTTACAATAAGACTAAGAATTGGGCTTTTTATTAGCTGCTTGAGTACTTGAGTGACTTAAGGGAAAAATTTAATGGTGGCATTACATTTGATAGGATGCAAACAATTAAGCATTATACTTGACACACCAAAGCCACTTTGCTAACAACATATCAAAATAATTGGATCATGCCTTTAAAAATGAAAGAGGAAACTTACATCAGGAAAGCAGTAACATTTTGATCTTGAACACAAAGACAGTGTTTTGTCCACTATCTAGTGAAAGACAGTTATTGCTGTAGAATTTTCTTGCCAAATCAATGACTTTCCTCCAAAATCAAGCACCATAACTGCAGCATTAGAAACATACATTTTCTTTTCCATTAATAGTGATACTTAAGCTTACGTGTAAGGAAGAAGGTATTATTTGGCAAAAAGAGGTGACTCTTGAAATTTTAGCTTAAAATGTTAGATTTCAGAAAACTAATTTATATTAAATGTAAAGAGAAGAGCTGAAGAAAACAAAGATTGCTTTAAATGGAGGATTTCATAACTAGAATTTAACTTTTGAACAATTCTAAATGTGGGGTACCCTCCCTAAATGCAAGGACAGCATTTTCCAAAATATTTTTCAAAAATTCCATTTAAAGATCTGTAATATTCAAATCTAAAGAGTTTTCTGTTTATTTTATACAACTGAAATGTATAAACATAATAGAAGATATTAAGAAATATAAATTATGTGATCTTGAATAGAAATTATATTCCATCTTTTGTGTTTCCTTTTCTATAAACCTAAGCAATTTTACAAGGTAAACCTAAATTATCAACACTAAACTACTTACTGGCAGATCGAACATTTTTCTGACTTTATATTAGTGAAAAACATTCACTCAATGAATATTTACTGGGCAAATACTATATATAAGTGAGGGGTTTAAAAAATGATATAGCTGGGCACGGTGGCTCACGTCTGTAATCCCAGTACTTTGGGAGGTCAAGGTGGGCGGATCACCTGAGGTCAGGAGTTTGAGACCACCCTGGCCAACGTGGTGAAACCCCGATTCTACTAAAAATACAAAAATTAGCTGGGCATGATGGCAGGCACCTGTAATCCCAACAACATGGAAGGTTGAGGCAGGAGAATCGCTTGAACCAGGGAGGTGGGGATTGCAGTGAGCCCAATCATGGCACTGCACTCCAGCCTGGGCAACAGAGCAAACCTCCATCTCAAGCAAACAAAAACAAAACAAAACAAAAAAATAATATAAACTGTGCCCTAAAGGAAAAAGCAAATTGCTTTAAATACAAGTTTTCATAACTGGAATTTAATATATGAACTATTATAAATATAAGATACCCTCCCTACATGTAAAAGAAAGGGTCTAGTAGGCATTTCCCAAAGTACTTGGGGAATTTCATGGCCAGTAGGTTTTGTAAATACTGATTCTCATTCAAAGAGTCATAGGTAATTCTAATATATGATCACAAGTGTCAAGGACCGTAAAAAACACAAAATATGACCTAGTATTGACCTCCTTATCTGCCTCACCCTCATCCCAATAATCCATCACTAATTCTTATGCCTTCTACTCATAAGACATATCTCCAATTAGTTTTTTAAAAAATATCACGCAAAATAACCAAAGGATTGATGTATATTGTCAATATAGTCAATATACATATATTAATACATCATATAGTATACACTATCCATGTTGTGAAATTAAATCAGAACTCAATAACAAAAAAAAAACCTAAAATCTCCAATGTTCAGAAATTAAGTAACATATTTTTAAATAACCCATAAATTAAACAAGTAATCAAGGGGAAAATTAGAAAATATTTTGATCAGAATGATAATGAAAACATGAAATATAAAAACATGGAATGCAGCCAAAGCAGTACTTAGGGAAAATTATATAGTTCTAAACACATTTATGAGAAAAAAGCAAGGTTGTAAATCTGTAATAGAACTCTATAATCAAGCAAAAGAACAACAAATTAAACCCAAACAAAGGAGAAAGAAGGAAATAATAAAATAAAATAGCAAAGTTAATGAAAGAGAAAACATACATGTAATAGAAATAACAAAGACAAAATTTGATTCTTTGAAAAGGTCAATCAAATTGATAAAGTGCTAGTAACACTGATCAAATAAAGAGAAAAATGTTAATTAAATAAATTTTAAAAAAACAGATTACTATTAAATCTACAGACATTAAAAAGATCCAGCCTGGCCAACATGGTGAAACCCCATCTCTACTAAAAATAAAAAACTTAGCCGGGTGTGGTGGCACATTCTTGTAGTTAATACTGACTCTCATTCAAAGAGTCATAAGTAGTTCTAATATGTGATTAGAATTACTAGAACTACACCAGAATTTAACTTTTGAACAATTCTAAATGTGAGGTACCCTCCCTAAATGCAAGGACAGTATTTTCCAAAATATTTTTCAAAAATTCCATTTAAAGATCTGTAATATTCAAATCTAAAGAGTTTTCTGTTTATTTTATGCAACTGAAATGTATAAACATAATAGACGATATTAAGAAATATAAATTATGTGATCTTGAATAGAAATTATATTCCATTCCATCTTTTGTGTTTCCTTTTCTATAAACCTAAGCAATTTTACAAGGTAAACCTAAATTATCAACACTAAATTACTTACTGGCAGATCGAACATTTTTCTGACTTTATATTAGTGAACAACATTCATTCAATAAATATTTACTGGGCATATACTATATATAAGTAAGGGGTTTAAAAAATGATATAGCTAGGCACGATGGCTCACGTCTGTAAGCCCAGCACTTTGGGAGGTCAAGGCAGGTGGATCACCTGGGGTCAGGAGTTCAAGACCACCCTGGCCAAAGTGATGAAACCCTGATTCTACTAAAAACACAAAAATACAAAAACTCCCTAGCTACTCAGGAGGCTGAGTCAGGAGAATTGCTTGAACCTGGGAGGCGGAGGTTGCATTGCACCAAGATGGTGCCACTGCACTCCAGCCTGGGTGAGAGAGTGAGACCCTATCTCAAAAAAAAAAAAAAAGCTATTATTAATAACTTAATGCCAACAAATTTGAAAAATGAGATAAAATGGACAAATTCTTTGAAAAATACAACTTACCAAAACTGACAAAAGAAGAAATTGAAAATCTGAAGAGTCCTAGATCTAGCAAAGAAATTGAATCCATAATTGAAAACCTTCCAACAAAGAAACTCTAAGCCTTGATGGCTTTGCTAACAAATTTTCCAAATGTGCCCCAGAGCTCCACACAACCTTGTCATATCCTGACCTTGCCACCTCAATGCTCAGATCCTCACCGTTGTGCTTCACTTTGAGACCACAATGACCAATGCCATCATTTCCAATATCTCCATTTATGTAAGTCATCTTCTGGAGCCCAAGATCATCTCCCCACACTTTCATCTCCTTATAGAGCTGTACATCTCTTAATTGGATTCCATGTCTTCCTTTCCCCAATTTTCAAAACCTTTCAACTATTCCCTCTGGAATTGACAGGCCACTATCAGCTGAACCACCTGTAAACACAATCTCTTCTCTGAATAATCCTTTTACCTTGTTGCTCTAATTGAAAACTGTCTCTAGGCCAGGCACGGTGGCTCATGCCTATAATCCTAGCGCTTTGGGAGGCTGAGGTGGGAAGATCACTTGAATCCAGGAGTTCAAGACCAGCCTGAGTAACATAGTGAGATCTTGTCTCTACAAAAGTTAAAAAAAAAAAAAAAAAAAAAAACTGGGAGTGGTGGCATGCACCTATAGTCCCAGCTACTTAGTGGCTGAGGTGGGAGGATCACCTGAGCCTGGGAGTCTGAGGCTGCAGTGAGCTATGATCATGACACTGCTCTCTAGCATGGGCAACAGAGTGAGACCCTGTCTCTAAAAAAGTAAATAAGAAAACTATCTTTTTCCTGAGGCTACTGCTTTCCCTTCAGCCCTCTCAGATGACAGCTGATTTCTTTCCCACAGTCCTTGTACCTGTGTCTAGAATGTGGATAAATGTTCAGCTTCCTCTTCAGTACCACTTCTCTAACATGGTCCCTACTTTCTTTAAAAATCCCTGTCTTGAAAATCATGTCTCAGACTCCACTACTTTCTACCCTTCCTTTTTGTAGCCATTTACAGACCCCTGAATCATCCCTAACATGTCTTGAAGAATATTAGCACCTGGCCACTATCACTTTTTCATAATATTTCTGACACATTACTTGGCAATTTCAATGTCCAGGGTGATAATTCTTCTAACCTCTAGCTTTTCAGTTCATTAGCCTCTGCTTCCCAATCTTGTTCTCCACTCTACTTCAGTTAAACACTCTGTTTCTGTTTTGTTTTTTTGAGACGGAATCTCACTCTGTCTCCCAGGCTGGAATGCAGTGACATGATCTCAGCTCACTCCAACCTCCACCTCCTGGGTTCAAGCGATTTTCCTGCCTCAGCCACCCTAGTAGCTGGGATTACAGACATGCGCCACCACACCCTGTTAATTTTTGTATTTTTAGTAGAGACGGGATTTCACCATGTTGGCCAGACTGGTATCAAACTCCTGGCCTCAAGTGATCCACCTGCCTCGGCCTCCCAAAGTGCTGGGGTTACAGGCATGAACCACACTGCTCCTGGCCTCAGTTAAACACTCTTGTGGACCTACCCGAGGCCATGTTTTTAGCCATAACCATAGATCATGTTTTTATTCATTGCTTCCCTTCCCCCTATACCTATCTTAGCTGCCGTAAACTATTATAATCAATCCCTACCATATACCCTCAACCTTCTTGTCCTCTAATCCTGAATCCATTTGTGATGTAAACTGTGAGCTACTCTGCACCTGTAGCTAAATGAAGGTAGAGAAAAGCACATAAACCCGCTGATTGATCTTTATTTAAATTATTGATGCCTGACCTCAAGTAGGGAACCCTACTGCATTTCTCTACTCCACTGATCACTCCTCTTCTCACCTTAAACTTCTTTCCTTCTCTACATAAATCAGTTCATGACCTTGTGTAAGGAACATGGCTGCGCTGCAGCCAAGCAGACATAGGCAAGGTAAACATCCTGCATGACTCAGCGGGATTGTAGCACAGGCGCACACTATGTAGCCATAACATGGGAAGGCTCATCATTTGGCTGTAAGCCACTATTGTCTGTAAAAGGTATAATTTCCCTGCTGACACTGTACAGGCACACTCACACCCAGAGAAACAGTCAGAGATGTTGGTCTTGCAAGTGGACAGGGGGGTGCCAGGACACAGCTCAGCTTGCTTGTGCCCAGAGGGAAAGAGTTGAGCTGCTAACCCTGAAGGGAGAGCTAGCCATGCAGCTGTACATGGGAGTGGCCGGAGGAAGCAGCCGAGATAGTAAAAACAGTGTAAAAGAGCTGCTGAATAAAGCCATATTTCATCTACATACATTCTTTCAGCTATCTGCCACCCATCCACCCACTCCCTGTGGACCTCAGCATGGGCTGAAACCTGACCCTAGACCTGAAAATTGGCATAGTCGGCAGGATGAGATGAGTAGGTCTTCAGCCACTGAGGGCTCCCAGGTCAGCTGTGTAGCGCAGCACTGGCTGTGGTACCCAGTGGAAGTGGTACTGCTAGGATAGGCCCCAGTGGAAATGTGGGAGGCGGTGGACAGGTCTACCGAGAGTATAGAGAAAGTACTGAAGCAGCTGGAAGCATGCAGCACTGAGAAGGAACGCACCTTCGCTGGCACAGTTGAATGGTTGTTTTTGATGGCACTGCCAGTCTCTACCAGAGGCTTCCCAGGTAAGGGACCTCCAGGCACAAGCCACATGTCTGGGGGCCCAAATTCACAGCTTGGAGCAAAACCTGGGGGTGAAGGACCTCTAGGCATAAGCAGGGTACTTAGAGGCCCAGAGAAACAGTCCAGAACAGGAGTTAGCAACAGCTGTGAGTGCGACCTTGAGCCCATCCTCCCGGCTGGAAACACCTGTTAGGTCTGATGCTGAGGAGGAGGAGGAGGCTCCCCAGCTGCGGGCTCACCCCGTGATCTGTCAGAAGATAGAACATGAGCATCTGATGGGACCCCAGGGGAGAGCCCAGGGACCCCTCACAGTGGTGGAACACACCTCTTATTGTGCTTACACCCCCACTGAGTTGTGGAAGTTAGGTAAGCAATGCCAGCAACATCCAGGGGAGCCCCTCTCTGCCTGAATGCTCCATCTCTGCGATGAAGGAGCTGACACGTTTCCTGCTCCACCTCCAAGATGAAAAAGCTGGCTTCTTTAATTACAGTCTGAACTGATGCACGTGAAATAGCAAAAACTGTCAGTAGATAGCAGTCGTATACTGATTTGGTGCAAGTACCCCATGAGCTGGGTATGCGGCAGGCTATGTTTGATCCAAATACCTGGGGCCAGATGATGAACACTTTGTCTCCCACATGAGGGATCTTATGCTGGGCTCAGCCCCACTGAGTGCTTTTGCCTCTCTAGCCACTGTTCTCACCCTGTATGTGGAGGGCTGCATACATGAAGTGACTATTACTATGGCAACTCTCGGGGAGACAGAAGGCCATTGGCAGGACTGGGGAGTTTGTACCATAAAGAAGGTGAACACTCCTCATCCACAGGTAACCACCCCATGAGATAAAAAGGGGTCCCAGCAGGTGACCCACATGCAGATGTGGATTGATTTAATTGCAGCAAGGGTTGCTCAGGAGAAAATTGACAGGCAACCCAATGCAATGCTATTGGCTCTGTGGAGGCAACTTTCCCTGGAGCAGCAATTCTGGAAAATGCCCAAGAGGGGGCAAAACAATGTTGCTCAAACCAGCCCCACCTGGACGCTTCAACTCAAGGACTATTTGCAGACAGACAAAGATGCAGGGCCATTCCTGTTTGATTAGGGAACCGGCCGAGATGGCCGGCTTGTGAGGGAACCAGATGACCAGAGGCCATATGTGGAGCTGGCAATCCTCTGGTCCCCAACTAATGTACAGTGGGTCCTAGCACTGGTAGATACTGGTGCAGACTGCAGTCTTGTTTATGGGAACCTGGGTAGGTTTCCGGGCAAAGCTGCATTTATTGATGGTTATGAGGGCCAGTCAGTGAAAGTGAAATCTGTGTCTCTGCATCTTGGCAATGGCCACTTGGCTGCCCGCCTATATGCTGTGTATGTCTCTCCCATACCTGACTATATTCTAGGGGCAGACATTTTGCATGGACTTACACACCACAGCCAGAGAATTCAGACTCTGAGTTCATGTAGTAAAGCTGGTACTGCATGGGCATACACATCACCAGCCCCAAGTTCTGCCACAACCCTTATGAGTTACCTCCACTTGTCAATACCATTTGCCAGGGGGCATATGGAGATAACTGAGACTATTAAGAAGTTAGAGGAGGTGCAAATTGTGTGTAGCACCCATACCCCTATAATTTCCCAGTATGGCCAGTCAGAAAGCCTAATTGGATTTGGCAGATGACAGTGGATTATCAGGAACTGAATAAAGTACCACCCCCTCTGCATGTAGCTGTATCCTCCATCATTTATTTGATGGACCACTTGACAATGAAATTGGAACAGTATCACTTTGTGGTAGACTTAGCTAATGCATTATTCTCCATTAACATTGCTCCAGAGAGCCAAGAACAGTTTGCCTTTATGGGAGGGCGACAATGGACTTTCACAGTGTTCCTGCAGCGCTATATGCATAGCACCATCATATGTCATGGTCTTGTTAATGATGTTATGCTAACCTCTGATTCTCTTGCAGGTTTAGAAATGGCAATTCCCCTCTTGCCTGGGATTGAGATGATGCAGCTGAGACAGTCTTTCTGGTACCCAAGCGGGATACTTAGCAGGCACAAAGCCTTACGGGTAGTTAGCCAGGAGTGCCCATTTGAACTTGATGTGCATGTGACCACAGATAGTTTCAGTTAGGGCCTATAGCAGCACACAGGGCACCTGAATATGCCAGTAGGTTTTTGGTCCCAACTATGGAAGGGAGCTGAGCTCTGGTATTCCTTGATAGAAAAGCAGTTAGTAATAGCAAAATGGGTGCATTCATGGATAACAACCCCCCGGACTGGGAAAACAGTCAGTAACTGCATATGCTGCCCTTCAGGCTCATAAGAACATGGCAAGACAGGCTACAGTCATCACGTAGATGACTTACCCAACAGCAGGGTAGGTACGTTCATGGGTAACAACCCTGCAGACTGGGATGGCACAGACATCCACTTGAGCAAAGTGGGGTGCCTACTTGGAGCAGCAAAGTACACTGAGTGCAAGTCCCTTAGTAGCAGAGTTACAAGAGGTCTTGAAGCCTATAGTCCTAATGCAAGATAAGGCCGTGGGACCTGAGCTACCTCCCCATTCCTGATGGAGCATAGTATACAGACAGGTCTAGCCATAGTACTGCTGCTGCCTGGGTTGCTGCTGCAGTCCAGCCTAGTACTGACACTACATGGTTTGATACCAAGTGTTGGACAAAGCAGCCAATGAGCTAAACTTAGAGCAGTGTGGATGGCAATCACCAAGGAGGTGACACCTATGGTAATCTATGTCAATAGCTGGGCAGTTTATCAAGGCTTAACCTTGTGGTTAATTACCTGAAAGTTACAGAATTAGCTAGTTAGTCATAGACCATGTAGAGCCAGGCCATGTGGCCAGATCTATGAGAGCAAGAATGACCTTCTCCAACCAGGTGTATGGGGACGAACTCTGTTATTGCCTGCCCCGATACCCCTAAAGGTAGGGAAACAAAGAAAAAAAAATTTGGTGTTGCCCATGGACCCTCCAAGCCCCTCACTGAAGATGGCTGGCTATCAAAGCCCCCTAGAGGGAGGGTCTGCAGTATGACTTACATGTTACTCCTTGGGTATTTAATGTGTAGTCTACACAATTAACTGTTTGTAGAGGAACAGCCAGGGAAGGGACCTTCTTCTGGGGGACATATGTACTTTCTGTGTGGCCTATCGTGAGCTCTCCTGTGACTCTGCCATGCGTACAGAACCCAAAAGAACCATGGGAAGCTGATAAGCTGTGGTACCATCGCACAGGGCAGAAGCCCTTGGCAGCCGCATTGTTATCCAGAGATGAAAACTTAGGCTGTATTTTGCCTGAGGGACATAATTTATCCTTGTTAGTACCTGTGACTGCTTTGTCATTTCGGCTGTAGGTTGACATGCCCCAACAGCATCATGGACTGGGCCCACACTTACGCCAAGGTGATCAATGTCTCCAGCTGTTGGATCTGCACCACTCTTCCAGCGGCAGCTGCAGACAGCTTGCCCTGGTACATGAATTCAGCTTCTGTGAAGAACTGGACATGGCTGGAAACTTGGGGTCCCATGGACAATGGTTGGGATGTAACACGGTGAACTTTGGATAGGGAATGTCACAAAACCCATGGTAAGCCTGTCCCCTGGCTGACTAGTAGTGTCCATGATGAATAGTGCTGGCTAAGGGGAGAACACGTGATGCCCCCATTGCAGGTACCACAATGTATAGAGCAACACTGGCGGTAAAGTCACTGTGGGATGATTGCCTGCTGAGGTTTGTGTAAACATAACACATGTTACCACACCGAGGATGTGGTGGAACAAGTGGCCTTATCAAGGCCGGGCCCCAGGCTTTGTGCCCCATGGGAGTTTATGGGTCTGTGGGGACACAGGATGGCCATATCTGCCAGCCAATTGGACTGGACATTGTACCTGGGGGTGCCCTTATGTGCCTGCCACTGTGCGTCCCACATTGCCTAGTCACCCATATAACAGAGGTGCCACATTCCTGGTTTTTGTGAGTACAGCGGGCCCCCTGGCGGCTCTACCCCTTAGCAATAACTATCCCTGGAGCAGGTGTCATTACTGCAGAAATGCAAGTTACAGCCCTTGCAGAGCACACAGCTTGGGTCCTGAATTATACCCAAGTTGCTTTCCGTTTGCTAACTGATAAGGTTGATCAGATCAGGAAGGTAGTGCTGCAAAACTGGATGGCCTCAGACATACTAACAGCTGCCCAAGGTGGCACCTGTGCCCTTATAGGGACACAATGTTGTACATTTATTCCTGATAACCACCAGAACATAACAGCAGCTTTACAAGGGGTGACGGAGGAGGCTAAGGTGATTAAACACCTTACTGATGACCCCCTGCAGAGATGGTGGGCATCTCTGGACTCTAATCTATGTTGGGCTCTCATAATCATAAGTACCATAGCAGGAATATTATTATTAGGTTGTTGCTCCCTGTATTGTTGCTGTGGTCTATGGGTCCAGGGTGCTGCCCTATGTGCATGGGTCCCCACTAAAAGGACTCCCCCAGTAGCAGGTGGAGTGTAAGAAACATGGCTGTGCTGCAGCCCAGCAGGCATAGGCAAGGTGAACACCCTGCATGACTCAGCAGGATTGGAGCACAGGCGCACACTATGTAGCCATAACATGGTGAGGCTCATCATTTGACTCTAAGCCACTATTGTCTGTAAAAGGTATAATTGCCCTGCTGACGTACTGGCAGGCTCATGCCCAGAGAAAGAGAGAGAGAGAGAGAGCCAGAGCTGTTGGTCTTGCAGACAGACAGGGGAGAGTCAGGACACAGCTCAGTTTGCCTGCACCCAAAGGGAAAGAGTTAAGCTGCTGACCCTGAAGGGAGAGCCAGCCGTGCAGCTGTGCGTGGGAGCGGCTGGAGCAAGCAGCCGAGACAGAGACAGACAGTGTAAGAGAGCTGCTGAATAAAGCCATATCTCACCTACCTATGGTCCCCCAAGTGTTCTTTAAGCTATTTTCCACCCATCCACCCCCTCTCTTCAGACCTCAGCATGGGCTGGAACCTGACCCTGGACCTGACAATATGCTATGTATTTCAGAGAGAAACTTCACGGTGAGAACTTCCCTATCATTCTATCACATCTCCCCTTTACTGTACTCTGACTTTCTTCCTGTTACTGTAAAAGAATCATACATACTCCTAGCTAACCAACCCCTAGCTCCTTCCTAACCCTAACTTGTATACCAGGACACATCCCCTTTCACCAACTCAAGGACATCACACTAGGAAATGTCCCCTCCTACTCCCAAGTCATTAAATGTTTCCTCATTACTAGATCATTCTGTAATTATACTATACTATCTCCCATTATAAAAAGAAAAAACAATTACCCTACTTCCCCTTCTAGTTAGCATCCCACCTCTATGCTTCCCTTTTTATAAACACTTCTTGAAGAAGCTATCTATATGCACTGGCTGTCTCCACTTTCTCTCCTATTATTCTCTCTTGAAACCACTCCACAGAGTGTTAGAATTCCACAGACTTAGCCAATGGACCTCTTTCCTGCTCTATTTATACCCATCCCTTTATGATCTCATACAGTCCTGTAACTTTACATTTCATGTATATATTGACAGTTCCCACATTTTCCCTCAATCCCTGGCATTTCTCTTGAATTTTCAGCTTGCAGAGACATCTCCTCTTTGGATATCCAGTACCCAAACCTATTCTTTCCATTGTCTCCTCCATCTCAGTAAATGGCAAATCTGTTAAGTCAATCTCATTACAAACCTTAGAGTAATCTTTGCAGCTTCTCTTCTTCTCACATCTCACAAGGAACCTTTCTATTCTTCTTAAGTATTTCAAAAATTTCACCATTTCCACCCCACCCAGGCCAACCATCTCCTTCCTGAACTTTTACAATGACCTCTTAGAGGATTTCTCTGCTTCTTCCCTTGCCCTCCACAGTTGATCTTCAACATAGCAACCAGAATGACCCTGTTAAAACATACATTGGCTTATGATATTCCCCTGTTGAAACCCCTCCAAATGCATCTCCTCTTCCTTATAGTAAAATCCTTACAATGACCTCAAGGCCCTACGCGACATGTTTTCTGTATCTCTCTCACTTCCTGTATTTATACCTTTCACTTTATAGGAGTAAGCTCTCCTTGACATTCCTCAAACAGGCACACATGCTCCTGCCTCACAGGCTTTGCACTTACTGATCACTTTGGCTAATACATTCTTCCTTCGGTGTCCACATGGCTTGCTGCTTCACTTCCTTCAGCTATCTGTGCAAAGGTCACATTACCAACAAAGCCTTTACTGACAACCCTATACAGAATAGCAACCTTGTACCCAACCCAAGGATAATGTTTCTCTTATCATGATATTTTTTCCTATAGCACTCATTATTACCTAAAATTTGATATATATATTTTAAATTGTTTGTCATCTATCTTCCCTCTCTAGGATATAAGCTATGTAAGAGAAGCAGCTTTCACGGTTTTGTTCACTGTGGTATCCCCAGGACCCAGAGCTTAGTAGTAAGTACTCAATGAAGAATTGTTTTATGAATAAATCAATTTCTTTAGCACTATCTTTGTATGCTTTAGCTGTGACTTCATATTCCTTTGGAAATATATTTCTATTATAACTAATTTTTTTCTGAGTAAATTATGCAATTTATCACTTCCAATGACATTTTTATTCCCCTATTATGCTTTCAAGATCTAAATAGTCTTAGAGCATCATAGTAGATAACTTTCTCACATAACTACTTCATAATTTTTTTCTTTTAAAGTTAGTACTACTGTTGTTGAAATCTTGAGATGGTTGTGGACTTTCTGAAGTTATAGATATATTAACAATCTTGCTGCCAGTTCTTTGTTCCCCTTTGATGTTTTAATACACATGGTTTGGATTTGTCTTTTTATTTAAGATCCTCCCACTGTTTTTGCAACTTACTTGGCAAGGCGGGTGGGGGAGGATGTGAGATGAGGGCAGTGGTAGCAGAACAGAAAAACAAAGTTCTATTTAAAAAAAAACAGACTCTATACATCACCATCATCAAAGACCAAAAGTAGATAAAACCACAAAGATGGGGAAAAAACAGAACAGAAAAACTGGAAACTCTAAAAAGCAGAGCGCCTCTCCTCCTCCAAAGGAACGCAGTTCCTCACCAGCAACGGAACAAAGCTGGATGGAGAATGACTTTGATGAGTTGAGAGAAGAAGGCTTCAGACGATCAAACTACTCCGACCTACAGGAGGAAATTCAAACCAAAGGCAAAGAAGATGAAAACTTTGAAAAAAATTTAGAAGAATGTATAACTAGAATAACCAATACAGAGAAGTGCTTAAAGGAGCTGATGGAGCTGAAAACCAAGGCTCGAGAACTACGTGAAGAATGCAGAAGCCTCGGGAGCCGATGCGATCAACTGGAAGAAAGAGTATCAGCAATGGAAGATGAAATGAATCAAATGAAGCGAGAAGGGAAGTTTAGAGAAAAAAGAATAAAAAGAAATGAGCAAAGCCTCCAAGAAATATGGGACTATGTGAAAAGACCAAATCTACGTCTGATTGGTGTACCTGAAAGTGATGAGGAGAATGGAACCAAGTTGGAAAACACTCTGCAGGATATTATCCAGGAGAACTTCCCCAATCTAGCAAGGCAGGCCAACGTTCAGATTCAGGAAATACAGAGAACGCCACAAAGATACTCCTCGAGAAGAACAACTCCAAGACACATAATTGTCAGATTCACCAAAGTTGAAATGAAGGAAAAAATGTTAAGGGCAGCCAGAGAGAAAGGTCGGGTTACCCTCAAAGGGAAGCCCATCAGACTAACAGAGGATCTCTCCGCAGAAACCCTACAAGCCAGAAGAGAGTGGGGGCCAATATTCAACATTCTTAAAGAAAAGAATTTTCAACCCAGAATTTCATATCCAGCCAAACTAAGCTTCATAAATGAAGGAGAAATAAAATACTTTACAGACAAGCAACTGCTGAGAGATTTTGTCACCACCAGGCCTGCCCTAAAAGAGCTCCTGAAGGAAGCGCTAAACATGGAAAGGAACAACCAGTACCAGCCGCTGCAAAATCATGCCAAATTGTAAAGACCATCGAGACTAGGAAGAAACTGCATCAACTAATGAGCAAAATCACCAGCTAACATCATAATGACAGGATCAAATTCACACATAACAATATTAACTTTAAATGTAAATGGACTAAATGCTCCAATTAAAAGACACAGACTGGCAAATTGGATAAAGAGTCAAGACCCATCAGTGTGCTGTATTCAGGAAACCCATCTCACGTGCAGAGACACACATAGGCTCAAAATAAAAGGATGGAGGAAGATCTACCAAGCAAATGGAAAACAAAAAAAGCCAGGGGTTGCAATCCTAGTCTCTGATAAAACAGACTTTAAACCAACAAAGATCAAAAGAGACAAAGAAGGCCATTACATAATGGTAAAGGGATCAATTCAACAAGAAGAGCTAACTATCCTAAATATATATGCACCCAATACAGGAGCACCCAGATTCATAAAGCAAGTCCTGAGTGACCTACAAAGAGACTTAGACTCCCACACATTAATAATGGGAGACTTTAACACCCCACTGTCAACATTAGACAGATCAACGAGACAGAAAGTCAACAAGGATACCCAGGAATTGAACTCAGCTCTGCACCAAGCAGACCTAATAGACATCTACAGAATTCTCCACCCCAAATCAACAGAATATACATTTTTTTCAGCACCACACCACACCTATTCCAAAATTGACCACATACTTGGAAGTAAAGCTCTCCTCAGCAAATGTAAAAGAACAGAGATTATAACAAACTATCTCTCAGACCACAGTGCAATCAAACTAGAACTCAGGATTAAGAATCTCACTCAAAACCGCTCAACTACATGGAAACTGAACAACCTGCTCCTGAATGACTACTGGATACATAACGAAATGAAGGCAGAAATAAAGATGTTCTTTGAAACTAACAAGAACAAAGACACAACATACCAGAATCTCTGGGACGCATTGAAAGCAGTGTGTAGAGGGAAATTTATAGCACTAAATGCCCACAAGAGAAAGCAGAAAATATCCAAAATTGACACCCTAACATCACAATTAAAAGAACTAGAAAAGCAAAAGCAAACACATTCAAAAGCTAGCAGAAAGCAAAAAATAACTAAAATCAGAGCAGAACTGAAGGAAATAGAGACACAAAAATCCCTTCAAAAAATTAATGAATCCAGGAGCTGGTTTTTTGAAAGGATCAACAAAATTGATAGACCGCTAGCAAGACTAATAAAGAAAAAAAGAGAGAAGAATCAAATAGACACAATAAAAAATGATAAAGGGGATATCACCACCGATCCCACAGAAATACAAACTACCATCAGAGAATACTACAAACACCTCTACGCAAATAAACTAGAAAATCTAGAAGAAATGGATAAATTCCTCGACACATACACTCTCCCAAGACTAAACCAGGAAGAAGTTGAATCTCTGAATAGACCAATAACAGGTTCTGAAATTGTGGCAATAATCAATAGTTTACCAACCAAAAAGAGTCCAGGACCAGATGGATTCACAGGCGAATTCTACCAGAGGTACAAGGAGGAACTGGTACCATTCCTTCTGAAACTATTCCAATCAATAGGAAAAGAGGGAATCCTCCCTAACTCATTTTATGAGGCCAGCATCATTCTGATACCAAAGCCGGGCAGAGACACAACCAAAAAAGAGAATTTTACGCCAATATCCTTGATGAACATTGATGCAAAAATCCTCAATAAAATACTGACAAAACGAATCCAGCAGCACATCAAAAAGTTTATCCACCATGATCAAGCGGGCTTCATCCCTGGGATGCAAGGCTGGTTCAATATACGCAAATCAATAAATGTAATCCAGCATATAAACAGAGCCAAACACAAAAACCACATGATTATCTCAATAGATGCAAAAAAAGCCTATGACAAAATTCAACAACCCTTCATGATAAAAACTCTCAATAAATTAGGTATTGATGGGACATATTTCAAAATAATAAGAGCTATCTATGACAAACCCACAGCCAATATCATACTTAATGGGCAAAAACTGGAAGCATTCCCTTTGAAAACTGGCACAAGACAGGGATGCCCTCTCTCACCACTCCTATTCAACATAGTGTTGGAAGTTCTGGCCAGGGCAATTAGGCAGGAGAAGGAAATAAAGGGTATTCAATTAGGAAAAGAGGAAGTCAAATTGTCCCTGTTTGCAGACGACATGATTGTATATCTAGAAAACCCCACTGTCTCAGCCCAAAATCTCCTTAAGCTGATAAGCAACTTCAGCAAAGTCTCAGGATACAAAATCAATGTACAAAAATCACAAGCATTCTTATACACCAACAACAGACAAACAGAGAGCCAAATCATGAGTGAACTCCCATTCACAATTGCTTAAAGAGAATAAAATACCTAGGAATCCAACTTACAAGGGATGTGAAGGACCTCTTCAAGGAGAACTACAAACCACTGCTCAAGGAAATAAAAGAGGATACAAACAAATGGAAGAACATTCCATGCTCATGGGTAGGAAGAATCAATATCGTGAAAATGGCCATACTGCCCAAGGTAATTTACAGATTCAATGCCATCCCCATAAAGCTACCAATGACTTTCTTCACAGAATTGGAAAAAACTACTTTAAAGTTCATATGGAACCAAAAAAGAGCCCGCATTGCCAAGGCAATCCTAAGCCAAAAGAACGAAGCTGGAGGCATCACACTACCTGACTTCAAACTATACTACAAGGCTACAGTAACCAAAACAGCATGGTACTGGTACCAAAACAGAGATATAGATCAATGGAACAGAACAGAGCCCTCAGAAATAACACTGCCTATCTACAACTATCTGATCTTTGACAAACCTGAGAAAAACAAGCAATGGGGAAAGGATTCCCTATTTAATAAATGGTGCTGAGAAAACTGGCTAGCCATATGTAGAAAGCTGAAACTGGATCCATTCCTTACACCTTATACAAAAATCAATTCAAGATGAATTAAAGACTTAAACGTTAGACCTAAAACCATAAAAACCCTAGAAGAAAACCTAGGCAGTACCATTCAGGACATAGGCATGGGCAAGGACTTCATGTCCAAAACACCAAAAGCAATGGCAACAAAAGACAAAATTGACAAATGGGATCTAATTAAACTAAAGAGCTTCTGCACAGCAAAAGAAACTACCATCAGAGTGAACAGGCAACCTACAAAATGGGAGAAAATTTTTGCAACCTACTCATCTGACAAAGGGCTAATATCCAGAATCAACAATGAACTCAAACAAATTTACAAGAAAAAAAAACAAACAACCCCATCAAAAAGTGGGCGAAGGACATGAACAGACACTTCTCAAAAGAAGACATTTATGCTGCCAAAAACACATGAAAAAATGCTCATCATCACTGGCCATCAGAGAAATGCAAATCAAAACCACAATGAGATACCATCTCACACCAGTTAGAATGGCAATCATTAAAAAGTCAGGAAACAACAGGTGCTGGAGAGGATGTGGAGAAATAGGAAAACTTTTACACTGTTGGTGGGACTGTAAACTAGTTCAACCATTGTGGAAGTCAGTGTGACGATTCCTCAGGGATCTAGAACTAGAAATACCATTTGACCCAGCCATCCCATTACTGGGTATATACCCAAAGGACTATAAATCATGCTGCTATAAAGACACATGCACACATATGTTTACTGCGGCATTATTCACAATAGCAAAGACTGGGAACCAACCCAAATGTCCAACAATGATAAACTGGATTAAGAAAATGTGGCACATATACACCATGGAATACTATGCAGCCATAAAAAATGATGAGTTCACGTCCTTTGTAGGGACATGGATGAAACTGGAAATCATCATTCTCAGTAAACTATCGCAAGAACAAAAAACCAAACACTGCATATTCTCACTCATAGGTGGGAATTGAACAATGAGATCACATGGACACAGGAAGGGGAATATCACACTCTGGGGACTGTGGTGGGGTTGGGGGAGGGGGGAGGGATAGCATTGGGAGATATACCTAATGCTAGATGATGAGTTAGTGGGTGCAGCGCACCAGCATGGCACATGTATGCATATGTAACTAACCTGCACAATGTGCACATGTACCCTAAAACTTAAAGTATAATTAAAAAAAAAAACAACAGACTTGCAATATAGCATAAATATTAAGGCTCTGGATTTTAAAATACATGGGCTTTATTCTTTCTTCCACCATTTTCCAATGATGGTCTTTTATCTTGCTTAAACAAGATGTATCTCTAAATCCATTTCCTTATTTTTAAAACGAAGTAAATAGCACTGTAATTAGAATGAAATAGGATAATGTATGTAAAGCATTTAACACAATGATAAGTTTAAATGTATTCAACATAAACTTAGAAAAACAAAAAGTTATTGATAATCAGAACACATTCAAGACATAACCTGATTTGAAGCATATCATTAGGCCAAAGGAGTAATTAGAACCTACACACAGAATATCATTTCAGGTCCTTGAGGATGCCTTCAACCCACAGGGAATGAGTTGAGACCAGAGACATAACCCACAACAGCATTTGAGTAAGAGGAGTAACAGGGCAGGTAATAAATAAATTTAGTTGTTATTGTTTCTAAATTGAGATAAGGATTTGGGGGCGGGGGATGATGTGCTGAAGACTTCATTTTCTTTTAAGGGAATGTGTGACAACATAAATTGTTTAACATTTAACAACTGTTAGTTCTGTAACTTTGAAATCTGAAATTATTTGTGTGAAAAAAAAGGCAGACCAGGTACAGATAACAAAATCTGATGGAGAAAATGCAAATGCAGAAAAGGTCAGACTTAATTGGCTAATTACATTGGCTATTAATTTTGTACAATTTTGCCAATAACATGAAAAGATAAGTTTTCTGAGCAATTGAAATTGGATTTGTTTTTCTGGACAAGTACCATTCCAAAAGCAAAGCAGCAGAGGAAAAAAAAATGTCGTTTTTCCAAGCAATCAGCTTCCAGTAGAAATTAAAAAGTAATAAATGGAACCAAGTCATAAAATAGATCTTCTTATGATCAACTTAATAACTTCCAAAATAATTTATTAATCATATATTAAACATCACCACAAAAACTGCTCCACATTTAAGAGTAAACCAGATTTGAAAACAATGATTAAATTAAAGGCGTATTTAAAACCCAAATATATTAAGCATCCAGACCCTTGTAAACACAAAAGATCAACAAAGGAATGAGAGGAAAGCAGAGACATAAGTGGAATAAAGGTTGTTTTGCCAGAGGATGGAGAGAGGCATGTGATAACCTCCCGCATTCCAGTGCATGACTGGCTCGATCAGCTGCAGTAAGCATGACAAAGTGGTTTCACAGGTTCCATTCCTTGTCCTGTAACCCTACAGTGGGAGGGTAACTAGAGTAGAAGATTCAGGTTAGTTCCCACATGAAACTGAGGATGTCTTTATACTACTTCCAGTTGACTGAGCCTGGGACCACATCTAGTCGGAACTCAAGCAACATATTTAACCATCAGGTTGTAGACTTTTGAGGAATTTAACCATTGGGTTGTAGACTTTTTGAGAGTTGTAGACTTTTTAGGGATTCCTCTACAAGTGGAAGTAGAAAAAGGCATAGCTGGACTGAGACCTATTTGTGTTCCTATTTTTGAGTCTTTCAAATGATACCTAGAATGTTTTCCTTCTTGCAAGGACACAGTAGGCCATTTGTAAACTTACTTTTCTGCAGAGAGCAACTAGAAAAGCTAGATGAAAAAAATTTTTATCTGTTGAAAAGCACTGGAGAGCTCTCTAGCCTGAGGATTATAAAATCAAAATCCAAGAATTTCTTCCTGTGAGACAAATAAGTTAAGCAAAGCATTTGAGACTGTTTTGCCAAATTTTCTGATTCCAAAATCAACATCTGAGAAGCTGAGTAGTTGAACAAAGACTAGGTGGGGAAACATTCAGGACATCAGGGTTAATATAAAGGTTATTTTTCAGATCCTGAAAGGAGCACTAAATATAGCAAATAAAGATCACTACTAGCTAATACAAAAACACACTTAAACACACAGATCAGTGTCACTATAAAGCAATCACACAAACAAGCCAACATAATAACCAGGTAACATCACAATGACAGGATCAAATCCAGACATGTCAATACTAATCTTAAACATAAACAGGCTGAATGCCCCACTTAAAAGGCAGAGTGGCAAGCTGAATAAAAAAGCAAGACCCAATGGTATGCAGTCTTCGAGAGACCCATCTCACACAAAATGACACCCATAGGCTCAAAATACAGGGATGGAGGAAAATCTATCGAGCAAATGGAAAATAGACAAAGCAGGGGTTGCGATCCTAATTTCAGACAAAACAGACTTCAAACCAACATAGATCAAAAAAGACAAAGAAGGGCATTACATAATGGTAAAGGTTTCAATTCAACAAGAAGACCTAACTATCCTAAATATACATGCACCCAACACAGGAGCACACCGATTCATAAAGTAAGTTCTTAGAGACCTACAAAGAAACATAAACTCCCATGCAATAGTAGTGGGAGACTCCAACACTCCACTGACAGTATTAGACAGATCACTGAGGCAGAAAATTAACAAAAATATTCAGGACCTGAACTCAACATTGGACCAAATGTGTTTGATAGACTTCTATAGAACTCTTCACTCCAAAACAACAGAATATATATTCTTCTCATCACCACATGGCACATTCTCTAAAAGTGACCACATAACTGGAAATAAAACAATTACCTGCAAATGCAAAAGAACTGAAATCACACCAAACATATTCTCAGACCACAGAACCATAAAAATAGAAGTCAAGACTAAGAAAATCACTCAAAACCATGCAATTACATGAAAACAACATCCTCCTGAATGACTCTGGGTAAATAATGAAATTAAGGCAGAAATCAAGAAGTTATTTGAAACTAAAGAGAACTAAGATACAACATACCAGAATATCTGAGACACAGCTAAGGCAGTGTTAAGAGGGAAATTCACAGCACCAAATGCCTACATCGAAAAGTTAGAAAAATATCAAATTAACAGCCTAACATCACAACTGAAAGAATTCGTTCAAGAATCAACCCCAAGGCTAGCAAAACACAAGAAATAACCAAAATCAGAGCTAAATTGAGAGAAACAGAGACACAAAAAGAATTCAAAAGATTAATGAATCCAGGAATTGGTTCTTTGAAAAAATTAATAAAATGGATAGGCCAGTAGCTAGACTATAAAAGAAAAAAAGAGAGAAGATCCAAATAAACACTCTTAGAAGTGACAAAGGAAAGTTACCACTGACCCCAAAGACATAAAAATAACCATCAGAAACTACTAAGAACACCTCTATGCACACCAACTAAAAAACCATATACATCCTCCTCAGACTAAACCAGGAAGAAACTGATTTCCTAAACAGACCAATAATGAGCTCCAAAGTTGAATCAGTAATAAATAGCCCACTAACCAAAAAAAGCTCAGGACCTGATGGATTCAAAGCTGAATTCTACCAGATATACAAACAGGAGCTGGTACCACACCCACAGAAACTATTCCAAAAAAATTGAGGAGAAAGGACTCTTCCCCAACTCATTCTATGAGGCCAGCATCATGCTGATATCAAAACCTGGAAGAAACACACAAAAAAAGAAAACTTCAGGCCAATAACCTTGATGAATATTGATACAAAACTCCTCAACAAAATATTTACAAACAGAATCCAGCAGCACATTAAAAAGATAATCCACCATGATCAAGAAGGCTTCATCCCTGGGATTTAAGGTTGGTTCAAGATAGGCAAATCAGTAAGTGTGATTTATCACATAAACAAAACTAAAGACATTTTCCACATCATTATCTCAAAAGATGCAGAAAAGGCTTTCAATAAAATTTAGTATGCCCTCATGTTGAAAACTCTCAATAAACTAGATATTGAAGCAACGTTCCTCAAAATAATCAGAGCCATCTATGACAAACCCACAGCCAACATTATACTAAATGAGCAAAAGCTACAAGCATTGCCCTTGAGAACCAGCACAAGGATGTTCTCTCTTATATTCAACATAGTATTGAAAGTTTTAGCCAGAGCAGTCATGCAAGAGAAATAAAGCCCATCCAAATAGGAAGAAAGGAAATCAAACTATCTGTTTGTAGACAACATGATTATATATCTAGAAAACCCCATAGTCACAGCCCAAAAGCTCCTTCAGCTGATAAACAACTTCAATAAAGTTTCAGGATACAAAATCAATGTACAAAATTTACTAACATTCCTACATACCAACAATAGCCAAGCCAAGAGCCAAATTAGAAAGGCAATCCTGTTCACAATTGCCACAAAAAGAATAAAATACCTAGGAATCCAGGTGACCAGGGAGGTGAAAGATCTCTACAATGAGACTTGCAAAACACTGCTCAAAGAAATCAGAGAAGACACAAACAAATGGAAACACATCCCATGCTCATGGCTAAATAGTGTGAAAGTAAAATATCTTGGGTCCCCAAAATCACTAAGCTAAAGGTAAAAGTCAAGCTGAGAACTGATTACAGCAAAACTGACTCCCATTCTATTCAAAGTCACCCCTCTGCTCACTGAGATAATTGCATATCTGATTGTCTCCTTTGGAGAGGCTAATCAGAAACTCAAAAGAATGCAACCATTTGTCTCTTATCTACCTAAGACCTGGAAGCCCTCTCCCCACTTCCAGTTGTCCCACTTTTCTAGACTGAACCAATGTTCGTCTTACATATGTTGATTGATGTCTCATGTCTCCCTACAATGTATAAAACAAAACTGTGCTCTGACCACCTTGGGCCCATGTTGTCAGGCCCTCCTGAGGCTGTGTCATGGGCGCACATCTTCAATCTTGGCAAAATAAGCTTTCTAAATTAACTAAGACTGGTCTCAAATTTTGGGGATTCTCATTTTGGTAACCACGGAGAAATTGAGTGGAGGTGCCCCTCCTGACCTTTGAGAAATCTTCTATTGGTGCTTGGTACCAGCATGAGCTATCTTTATGGCTCAAACCAATATTACAATTTGCTGAGGTCTGGGAGCACCCCCCCAGAGTATCCTGGTCTCCCAAATTTGGTCATGATCTAAAGTTTATTTTGCTGTACAACTCCCTTTTTTGGGGGGTTTTACTTGCTTCCAACAAGGAAGGCAAGTTTTCCTGCTTCCATAATGATGGAAGGCAGAAAACTCCTTTACGGAGTTTGAGCTCATTTTCAACAGGGAAGATGAGTTTTGTTTCCTGCTTCTAGGATGATAGAGAGCCGTCTCCAGCATGAGACACATCCCTAGGTAAGTACCTGAATTGGGGTTTTGTCTTTGCTAAAGTTAACAACCAGCTGGTCTTAAGTTCTCCTTACCATTACAGCACTCAGTAATCATGTAAGTTGTGCAATCATTTGTTTTGCTTAACTGGTTTTGTTGTTGTTGTCATTTGTTTCTGTTTTTGTTGTTGTTTCAGTCTTTTTTCCCATTGGGTTTGATCAACTCTATCCAACTTCATCAAATCTGAAGGGAGTTCCAAATTATGGGGAACAAGACCTCTGAAGTGGCTAAATTCCCCCCAACCCCACCCCTCTGCCAACACACACACACACAAGGTGGTGGGGAGGAGGAAGAAAAATGGCCAGCAAAAGGAAAAAAAAAAAAAAAAAAAAACAAGAAAAAAGATGTAGAACACCCAATTCTGTCTCTGTTCAGGGCACCACTAGTGGCCTGCCACTGGTGGACTGAATAAAGTGGTGGACTGAACAAAGGGGGCGAACGTGGGAATAAAAGACAAAGACAAAAGAGTATATTTAGAAGAAGGGGTCGGGGGCACCTTGCCTCTAGTGGACAAGGGCCCTGAGCTTTACACAGCCCTCCATATTTATTAGACAAAAGAGCGAGAAGGGGGTTGGTGATTGTCGGATAATTGTCAGTCAGGCTTTTGGTTCACAGCAGGCTTGTGAGACTGCATCCTTTGAACAATAAGCGCTAGATTTCTCAGTAGATAACTTCAAGGAGCCCGGGGCCAGGGAGTGATGGCCCTCAGCAAACCTTTTGGTGGCAGGCACAGTGTGAGTTCGCTCACATCCTGCATTCATGATAAACAGTTTGTTATTTGATCATATAGCCTCCAGTGGAATGCTGAGTTGGTCATGATCCCTTTGGCCTTTTTGGCTCCCAACAAAAAGATTTTTGATTTTGACTACTAAGGGGCTTTATTTACATAACAAGACCACCTTTTTGCTAGCCAGGCCAAACTGAAAGAGCAATGGCTATACTTCTGAAATAATAGCAATTTGTCCTAGCTGAAATAGGGTAAAGAGATTTAAAAAGATTTTTTAAAGGAGCTCAATGGTTAAAAGTCAGCTTAATTAAAAGCTAACATCCAAGATGTGTGTGTGTATGTGTGCATATGTGTGTGTTTGTATTTAAAAGGCTTTCATGTTTTTGCTTTTGCTTTTCTCCTAGGACTTTGTCTCTTTTTTTGAGCAAAAGTTTATTTCTTCTTTGTTGACTAAATTATGTCTCTCCTTTCTCTTGTACCCTCTGCTGCATGTGGGACCTAAAATAGTTTATAATAGCCTTGGGTTCCTTAAAGAAAATGAAGAAGATGATAGACTCCCTTTGGGGGAGAAACCTGTTTTTCCTTATGGCACCCCAAGAATGTGAACAGTCAAGTTTCTCTCAGCTCTTAAACTGCTTACTTTTGTATTGTGTTACCTGTTTGTGTACATATATTTTTTGACTAAAATACTTATTGCAACAGAGGTTATCCTTGGCTTTTTAAGGAAGAATGTGGTTTAGACACTTAGAAATGTCTTGTTTTTAAAAAAATTTTTTAAGTGCACTGTAAAAGCATCATGTGGTCTAATCTCATAATAATTCTCCCTTTTTGGAGACCCAGGATTCAATGTGGGCTCTGCCCAGAGCTCAGATACCTAATTAAAAGGTAGATAGTTTCTATCTAAATAAAATTGGACTCCTTATACAATCCTATCATAGATTTCTATAATTTTATGTTTGGTTTGGCATCCATCTTTAGTCTCCTTCTAGCACCACCAGACTTTTTCTCTCTGTACCTTATGATGTAAATTTTACTATTTGATTTTCACCTGAGTTGTTTCCTTTAACATGCAAATATAAGGCTGTTTAGCTGACAACTGCCCAGGATTGTGAAATAGGTTTTCAAGAATCTGAAAATCTAAGACGGGAAAAAAAAAAAAAAGGTTTTTATAAATCTGGCTGGGAGCGGTGGCTCCATGCCTATAATCCCAGCACTTCGGGAGGCCAAAGCAGGCAGATTACCTGAGCCTGAGGTCAGGAGTTTGAGACCAGCCTGGCCAACACGATGAAACCCAGTCTCTACTAAAAATACAAAAATTAGCCAGGCATGGTGGCACGTGCCTGTAATCCCAGCTACTCAGGAGGCTGCGGCAAGAGAATCACTTGAACCAGGAGGTAGAGGTTGCAGTGAGTACAGATCATGCTACTGCACTCCAGCCTGGGAAACAGAGTGAGACTCCATCTCAAATAAATAAATAAATAAATCTATAAGATGTACTTCTATCAGCAAGCCTAATACATCTATGTATTTATGTGTTGTGTACACAATGTTTCACTACTGAAAATATATAAAGGAGTTCTGATTAATTGGCTTAAGAAAATAAAGTATTTGAAACACTTTATCTGGAAACAAGAAAAGATTAGTCGAATGCTTTTTCAAGTTTACATAACTTAAGTAAAATCTTAATAAATAATGTAGCTTTAAAATTATTGGTAAAGTAAATATTAGAAATATCTTAAAAATTGCCAGCATACATTTTCATGTACAATTATTAATCAAGCAATTTCATATTTATCCCTGCCAAATACCATAAGGTGTCAAAATTTGGTACAGAGGTTACAAAACTCTAAATGCAGCCCAAGACAGAATGACCTTTGCTTGTATAATTTTTAATAAATAAGATATTGATATTGGTTTAATAAAAATAGCTACATCTTGAATTTAGTAAAATTACCATAACTTCTAATCTTGTGGCTTTAGGCAGTCTAGTCCACAGGCAGTAAGATTTGTTCTAGGAAAGGACTGTTTATCATCTTCGTTTCAAAGCTAAACTATAAACTAAGTTCCTCCCAAAGTTAGTTCAGCCTATGCCCAGGAATGAACAAGGACAGCCTGGAGGTTAGAAGCAAGATGAAGTCAGTTAGGCCAAATCTTTTTCACTGTCTCAGTTATAATTTTGCAATGGCAGTTCCATAACTTTAAATAATGGCATTCACAGTTTTTATAATCTAAGTAAACAATTAAAATAAAATAATTAGGTAATGTAGCAGGATAAAAACTTGTAGACAACTCATCATAATTTAGATTCTAAAGTTATATTAAGTTAAATAATAGATATTTCATTATTTGGATATTGTCAAATAAAAACATATTTGTAGGAAAACATTCTTTCTAAAAATAAAAAAGGTGTGTCCTTTTAAAAAAAAGGTGGACAATTTTTGTCTAGTTCAAAGCTTATTTAAAGGTCATGTATGAAACAAGGTAAAAGGAACCAGAAAATAAAAGATATGTAAAGAAACTTATAAAAATAAAGAGTTTTGGTGTTTTTTTGGTAAGAAAGCTTGAAGAGAAATCATTTCATATGAGAAAGAATCTTGTATAGTAAATTGAGTCCTAGAGTAACATGACTGGTTGTTTAAGAAGGAGGGATGTTCAGCACAAACCAGAAACTGCAAGCATGTCATGAACAGTCTATGTAAGTCACAATAAGAGGATTTACTTTTTAGAAAACTTTTATATGATAAAGTTGTCACACTATTATTAAGTTTTGGTTTGCTTAGGAAAAAAACAGATTACAAATTTTTTTTATTTAAGGTTACTACATCCATGTATCTTTCTGTATGCACTTTTAAAGTATTTGTGACATTTAGTTACAGGGCTTTGACTGCAGGTCTAAAAAGGACACCACGTCCTTCTAAGTTTTAAACACTGATGGCAATTAAAGCCCCATCTTCAGGCCTGGTAGCAGATGCCAATCAAAATAAACTGCCTTCCTCAAACACTCTATTCAGGGGGTTGAATAGAAATTAAAGCTATTCAACCCCTCAAGGTCCAGGGACTATCACAGAAGAGGTGGACATGTAAGATTCTAAGGGCCAATTTTGAAAGATAAAATAAGTTCAGCTTCTCTATAAATTAATCATTAATGTCAAGACCATTGATGCAAGACCTACATATAGGCCCCTGTGTCAGATTAACAAGGTTTTCTTGAAGTATTAACTGACTCCTAAATAAAGATTATAAAGGTTATGAAAGGGTCTTACGGAAGTTATATCTTATCATTAAGATTAAAATTTTACAGATTGTTTATAAAATTTTGAAAAACAAATTTAATTGGCTTCATGCTGTTTTTATTAGGACTTATTGTTTGGAAAATTAAGACTCCTCTATCAAAGAAGGAAGGTTTTCACCTTTTTTTTTTAATCTTTGAGTTATCACTTTAGTCAAATGAATGACTTATTTTGCAATGACCTGTGATATCAAGTGTTTTAAACCTTTTATATTTGACAAACTTTCCAAAATCAAATTATAAATTATGTCTTTTTCTGATCTAATTAACCCTTTAAGATATTAGGTTTCTGGCCAGGTGCAGTGGCTCATACCTGTAATCACAGCACTTTGGGAGGCTGAGGGTGCCAGATTACCTGAGGTCGGGAGTTTGAGACCGCCTGGCCAACATGGTGAAACCCCATCTCTACTAAAAATACAAAAATTAGCCTGGTATGGTGGCATGTGCCTGTAATCCCAGCTACTCAGGAGGCTGAGGCAGGAGAATCACTTGAACCCAGGAGGGAGAGGTTGTGGTGAGCCGAGATCATGCCAATGCACTCCAGCCTGGGTGACAGAGTGAAACTCCATCTCAAAAAAAAAAAGATATTAGGGTCCCTAAAGTCAAAAAATGACATAATTTGGCTTATTTGGTGTAAAAATTATACAGGAAACATTGTCAAATATGAAATGGTGTTTGGTCTTCTTTAGTCTGTATTTGTATAAATATGTTATTGGTATGTGTTCCAAAATCATGGGAAACTCCTAAAGTTCTGATAAGACTTAGTGTACATTATCAGTAATAATTATAATTGTTATGTTAAATTATTGTGTGCCACAGAGGTAACAAATTTCCTTGTCAATTGTATCTTTGACTATGGCTTCCCTAAAACCTTTTGTCATCTATGGACAATTGTCTTGTTTTGATCCTCCTTAGAAGGTGGTTTTATAATCAGCTATAGAACTCTAACACGTGTTTTTAAATGCAGGATTCTGATAACTTTGAAGATTGTGACATTAGAATAGAAGAAAAAACTTTCAGGACTCTCATGAAGAGCTGAAATGTTCATGAATATCAAGCAGAACAGGAGTTAACTGTGTGAACTGAACTAACAGAAGACTAAATCAATCTTTTTAACATTTTGCTTAAAACATTGCTGATCCTTTGTTTTGTTTTTCAGAGTCAAGAAAACATATAAGCTATTTACAGCTTTTAACAGTTGAGTAAAGAATACTCCTATGAACAAAATTTGGAGTACATTTGTTTCTCTCTACCTGATTTCTCCAGAATTTGGAAACTATTTGTGAGTATTCTTAACTTATGACAATATAGCTATTTGCATAAGTGCAATAAGAAGCCATTTTCATTTGTAACAGGACACAATTGGAGAAACTGGTTATTTTACCAAGGCTTTGACTGAAATGGTGTGCTTTCCTTTAAGGAATCAGACTTGACTTATGGAGCCAATAAAAGAACTCAGGAAAAACTGACCTTATACCTTTGTCTATACAGCCCCTGTACAGGGTTCCTGAGCCATGGCAAGTAAAGAATGTCACTTTCTGACAGGCCCAAGAGCCCCAAGTTTACCTTGGAACCTCAAAAGAAGAGGACCACCCAACTCACAGGTATTTGATGGCACAAATCCATGGCTGGGCTTGGCTTTAAAAAATCTTTTCTGAGATTCCTTCTATGGAACAAAGTTCCATCTAAACCAGTTTAAAAGCCTATGTAAAAAATAATTATCCTTGCTTCACTATATACCAATAATTAGGCCAAGTATAATAAAGCAAAGCAGTCCTACCATGATTTAGTAGGTAGTAAAAATGGGAAACTAGAAAGGGAAAACTATGTTTTAAAAACTATAGTACACCTGTTGTTAGAGTCTAGTCTTGCCTAATGTTTTTCAATTTCATTATTTTCTATGCTTTGGACCAAATCCTAATTTTTCTTGGCTATAAGTTTTTAAAACAATGTTTTCAATTTTTTTCCTCATTTTTCCTAATTTGGAGTCACTGAAAACTAAGCTGTGCTTTCATAAAGCCCTACTAACTGAAGCTAGACAATTTAAACTTCAAAAGAAAACAATAGCAACCTATTTACACACATAAGTCACTTTCATACCTGCCTACTGATGTATGGACTTCAGAGTAATGTGGCCTATGTCAATTTTCCAGTATTGTTATTTTCTTTGTTGTTGTTTTTCTCCCTTCCTCCCCCTATTTTCTCATCATAGGACATGAGACTTCACAACTTTCTAAAAATGAGCTTTCCTAATAACTCAGGACCTATCTGTCTAGGAATAAATCATCCTATCCATGAGAGATCAGATGAAACCTGGGACCAGAGACTCATTTTCTTCTAAAATGCTTTCTTCAAAAGATTTTTAAAAAGAAAAGGGAGGAAAGGTGAAAGGAAAATATATTGGGCCCTGAAAATCCCTAAGCTAAAGGAAAAAGTCAAGCTGACAACTGATTAGAGCAAACCTGATTCCCATTCTATTCAAAGTCACCCCTCTGCTCACTGAGATAAATGCATATCTGATTGTTTCCTTTGGAGAGGTTAACCAGAAACTCAAAATAATACAACCATTTGTCTCTTATCTACCTGTGACCTAGAAGCTCCCTCCCCGCTTCAAGTTGTCCTGCCTTTCCAGACTGAAGCAATGCTCATTTTACATATGCTGACTGATGTCTCAGGTCTCCCTACAATGTATAAAACAAAACTGTGCTCTGACCACCTTGGGCACATGTCATCAGGACCTCCTGAGGCTGTGTTATGGGCACGCATCTTCAACCTTGGCAAAATTAACTAAGACCTGTCTCAAATTTTGGGGGTTTTCAATAGGAAGAACAAATATCATTAAAATGCCCATACTTCTCAAAGCAATTTACAGATTCAATGCTATTCCTATCAAACTACCAATGACATCTTCACAAAACTAGAAAAAAACTGTTATAAAATTAACACAGAACCAAAAAAGAGCCCAAATAGCCAAGGAACCCCTAGCCGAAAAGAACAAAGCTGGGGGCATCACGTTACCCAACTTCAAACTATACTACAGGGTTACAGTAACCAAAACAGCATAGTACTAGTACAGAAACAGGCACATAGACCAATGGAACAGAATTGAGAACTCAGAAATAAGGCTGCACACCTATAACCATCTGATCTTCAACAAAGCTGACAAAAACAAGCAATGGAGAAAAGATTCCCTATTCAATAAATGGTGCTGGGATAACTGGCTAGCCATATGCAGAACACTGAAGCTGGACCCCTTCCTTACACCATACGCAAAAATGAATTCAAGATAGATTAATGACTTAAATGTAAAACCCAAGACTATAAAAACCCTGGAAGACAACCTAGGTATCCATCCTGGATGTAGTAACAGGCAAAGATTTCATGACAAGGACACTGAAAGCAATTGCAACAAAAGCAAAAATTGACAAATGGTTTATAATTAAACCCAAGAGCTTCTGCACAGCAAAAGAAACTACCAAGAGAGTAAAGAGACAACCTACAGAATGGCAGAAAATTTTCACAAACTGTGCATCTGAAAAGGTCTAATATCCAGCATCTATAAGGAACTTAAACAAATTTACAAGAGAAAAACAACCCCATTAAAAGGTGAGCAAAAAAACATGAACAGACACTTTTCAAAAGAAGACATACATGTGGCCAACAAGCATATCAAAAAAAGCTCAATATCATTCATCATTCAAGAAATGCAAATCAAAACCACAATGAGATGTCATCTCACACCAGTCAGAATGGCTATTATTAAAAAGTTAAATAATAGATGCTGGCAAGATTGTGGAGAAAAGGGAACACTTATATATTGTTGGTGAGAGTATAAATTAGTTCAACCATTGTGGAAAACAGTATAGTAATTCCTCAAAGAGCCAAAAGCAGAACTACCATTTCACCCAGCAATCCCATCACTGGCTATATACCCAGAGGAATATAAAATCATTCTACCATAAACACATACGCATGCAAATGTTCACTGCAGCACTATTCACAATAGCAAAGACATGGAATCAACATAAATGTCCATCAATGACAGACTGGATAAAGAAAATGTGGTACATATACACCATGGAACACTATGCAGCCATAAAAAAGAATGAGATCATGTATTTTGCAGAAACATGGATATAGCTGGAGGCTATTATCCTCAGCAAAGCAACGCAGTAACAGAAAACCAAATACCGCATATTCTCACTTATAAGTGGGAGCTAAATGATGAGAACTTGTACACACATAGAAGGAAAAAAGAAAAACTGGGTTTTTCTTGAGGGTGGAGGATGGCAGGAGGGAGAAGAGCAGAAAAGATAACTACTGGGGCCAGGTGCTCTGGCTCACACCCGTAATCCCAGCACTTTGGGAGGCTAAGGCAAGAAGATGGCTTGAGCCTAGGAGTTCAAGACCAGCCTGGGAAACACAGCGAGACCCTGTCTTTATGTTTTTTAAATTTTTCTTAATAAAAAAAAAAAAAGATAACTATTGAATAACTATTGGGTACTGGGCTTAATTCCTGGGTTATAAAATAAATAATCTGTACAACAAACCCCTGTGACATGAGTTACCTATGCAACAAACCTTCACATGTACCCCAGAACCTAAAGTAAATGTTTTCTTTAAAAAGGTTATTTTAAACTGGAGATATCTGAGATTCAAAAAATGCAGAAAGAAGACTTATCAGAGCTCTTATAATCTGACTAAAAGCAGAATTTTCTGAGAAATAAGAACTGCTATAAATTTTCTCTTCAAGTTGTCTATTCCTAGGAGAGAGATCAAAAGTAATCCCACCATAAATCCCTTCTCCAGGGATTTTCGTGGCCCTGAAGAAGACAGACCAGTCTGCATAAATAAGCATCAGAAGTTTTCTTATCTCTCATTTGTTCTAAAAACCCATTTGTCTTTCTTAAAGGAACCTATTTGTTCTTCCCATAGGAACCTTTTCTCCCTACTCCCTTTCCCCTCCTAAGTTAGATATATCAACATCAAATTCTAATCTCCCCTCTGAGTTACTCATCATTGAGCACTCCTGTCTGCATCCACATTGCACACATAAATGAACTTTTTTCCTTGCAAACCTGTCTTGTCAGTTTAATTCACATGCCCCCAATTACTTAATGTAATAAGGTAGAGGGAATTTTTCCCCCTCCACAACTTCAGTAAACTCATAAGCCAGAAGGATTCATGGTCCACAGGCAGAAAGACCCTGGCAAGTATAACAGATTTACGTGAATGATACCAAAGAGCTACGTTCTAGGGTAACTGAACTATAACTAGACCAGTCCTCAAAGGAACTGAAAACCAAATTCGAATCATTCAGTCCTGATTAGAGTGTGGTGAACTGCTTTGATTGCTAGTGCCATAGCTAGCTGCACACCAGAAATCCTCTCTAGAGTAAGATGCCATTGTAAGGAATCTGAAATTACCTTTACTGGGTTTTCATATGCAATGTTTGACACTCCTATTTTTAAAAGTGTACAAAAAGACAACATGATTTAAAACCCAGAGTAAATAAAAGCAGATAAAAAGAAACAGACTGGGGTGGAGGGTAGGCAGGGAATGGGGAGGGACTGCTAATGAGCGTAAGATTTCTTCTCAGAGTGATGAAAATGCCCTAAATTAGATTGTGCTGATGGCTATACAACTCTAAATATATTGTAAGACACTGAATTGTACACTTTAAGTGAGTAAACCTCATGGAATGTAAATTATATCTCTATAAAGATTTTTTAAATTAACTAATTAAAGAGAAAAAAACAATGACTATGAGGATTTTAGCCAAGACACTGGAATAGTGAAGATGTCATAAACTAAGATGGAGAAATCTGTTGATGGAGTTAGTCTTGTCGGGGAGAAGATTAGGAGCCCAGCTTTGGACATACTAAGTTTGAGATGCCTATTTTACATCCAAGCATAAATATCAAATGGAGAGTTGAATACATGAGTCTAGAATTTAGAAGAGATATCTGGACTGGAGATAGAAATTTGGAAGTTATAATGTATAGATGGCATTTAAAACTATGAGACATGTTGAGATCACCAAGGTAGTAAGTGCATCTACAGAAGAGAGGAGTATCAAGAACTTAGAACTAGGTCAATCCAGGATAAGAAAAAGAAAGAAAGAGGGAGAGAGGAGGAGGAGGAGGAGCAGGAGGAGAAGGAGGGAGGGAGGGAGGGAGGGAGGAAGGGAGGGAGGGAGGGAGGAAGGAAGGACAGGCAATGAAAAAGCAGTAAAGGAGAAAGAAAGGGAGCAACCAGTGAGCAGTAAAGTTAAGAGTTTCAGTGTTCTGGTAGCCAAGTAAAGAAAGTGAATTAAGGAGGAAGGAATCATCAACTGACAGGTCAAATAAGATGAGAACTGACAAATAACCATTGGATTTAGCAATGTGGAGGCCATTAATAACATATAAAAATCATTTCTGTAAAGGGCCAGGAGAGAATGTCTACTCAGACTAAGTTTAATGAACAAGTGAATAAAGATAATGGAAAAAATAAGAATAAATAATTATTTCAGAGATACTGTGCAAAGGGAAGCAAATAAATTGGGGTTACAGCTAGCAAGATAAGTAAAATCAAGAAATGGACTGTATTCCCTCTTCCATGTCGGTCTTGTAATTTTAATTGATGGTGAAATTGTAATTTTACTTTAAAAGAAAAACAAAATAAATCCATAATGTGTTCAATAAAGAAAGTATCAGAAAGTTTAAAATAATTATGATTAATATATTCAGGAAATTAAAATATGAAATTGAGAATTTTAGCAGTTAAATTCAACCATTTTGAAAGAACTGTGAAATTTTACAACTGAAAAAAATGCAATCAATGATATTACGAACTCACTGAATGGATTTTTAATTTTAGGTCAAATACAGGGGTTTCATTTCTGTTACTGGCCAAGTAAATTTCTGTCACATCAAAGATTTCAGAGATAACAGCTCTAAACTCTGAACAAATTATAAAAACCAACTACCTGCAGCCTGCAAGCACTGGAGAGTTACCAAAAGGGGACTCAAGTCAACACTTGGAAGGAAGCACTGGCACCTAGCTGCCCAGTTTTTGTTTTTTGGTTTTTTGGGTTTTTTTGCTTTTTGTTTTTTGTTTTTTACCATTTCTACCTAGCTGGTGGAAAAACACCAGACAGATCCCTTTGGAGTGGCTAAAATTCCAATAGAAAGCCTGCGATCCTTCTGCTGTGAGAAGCCAGAGGACAGAATATAGAGCAACCACAGCTTTTGTGAAGTGAGGAGGAATCCCAGGCAAGAGAGAACAAGAGCGGAGCCCCACATTCTGCTTTGACTCCCTGCTTTTTCTCTACTATCAGCATGTTTTCTAAAGCTTAGAAATCCCAAAAATGAATGTGTGTTTTCCTCAAAGGAATGGAGACAACCTGTAGACTATATTGTGTTCCATATTGGGCTAGGACAAGAATCCCTGATCAGAAATAATGAGTAGTACCGGAAGGAGTAGAAGTAGGCAGCTCTGTCTCTTGCGCCACTGGAGAAAAGAAAGACGCCTACCAAGAAATAAGCCTGGGAGCAAGCATCTCACAGGAGGTCCCCAATGCCCTCTCCCAGCTTCCACATGCCAAGTACTCAGAGTCTCCAACCCTTCCTCACCCTCTCTTTGACTGCAAATTTTGAAGCTTGCCTTCATGGCATTAACAACCACAAGTGACTTGGAGTCTAAGGACTCCCATTCCAATTGCAGGGAGGAATGGATGATGCTGGTATCCACTAAAATGAAGCTTACATAGTTTAATATTACAAGTTGGGGCTTGGAAAATGTATTATATATCACCATCTTTCCTCCCATAAGTATATTAATGCTCCCACATTTTTTAATTTATGTGGTAGGAATAAAAATTTCTAATGCCAAATCATGGGCTGATTAGGAATAATGACTCATGCTGACTCTATGCTGGACACAACTCTAAATGTTTCATACACATTAACTCATTTCATGTTCACAACAACCTTATAATGTAGATGTTATCCTTATGCTCGTTTTACACATGAGGGCAGAGAGGTTAAGTCAAGGTCAAATTACAACTTGCTGATGAGTAGGTTGTCTGAATTCACACCTGGGGTCCAGAATCCATGCTCTTAATCACCATACATGCAGGTTCTCATGAGTGCACAAGATCTTTCACCAAAAATGTAAAATGCAAGAGTGAATTTTCATACCAACAGGCATTGAAAGATTATACACATTATTTTTAATTTTTCAGTTTTGCAAATTAATCAATACCTGCATTTTGTATAATACTATGCATTCTACAAGTGTATGAGTCTAGTTTTATTCAAATAAAGAAATATGGACTATTTACACTTTATAAGATCAAGAGTTATTTTTAACTGGCTGAATCTAAACACATTTAAAAAAAGTTTCCATAATAAGATACATTAGGAGTGGCAAATTTTTAGATTGCCTACATTATTATATTGAACTTATTGGTAATTCAGGCACATCCGTAAGACATAATTAAGTACATATTAAAACATAATTTTGTCTCATTTATTTGTGTAAATGTGTGGAATAAATCTTATATTCTCATGAATAATGTACACTTCATGGATTCATTTTGTACACCCTTTGGCCCAAAGAACTCTAAGGAAAGAAGTGTTTACAAACTATGATAGAATATACAGGGACTTGAAAGCAGTCTCTTTAAAGGTATTTAGTTGCGCACGTGGTAAAAAGTCAGGTTTGAGGCACAGAAGGTTTTTCATTAGTGAAGTGATTCTTAGCTAAATCTGCAGAAAAATATAGCACACAACTTAAGAAAACAAAAAGAACAGAAAGAAGGTCAATCAAGGCATTTTGTGCCTTTTTGCAATTTAGATCTGTATGAAAACTGGGGTAGTTTGGCCAAGATAAGCCACCATGTTGGAGATGAAAGATGATTCTGCTAGAGTGCCCTTTCTAAAACACAGCTCTGATTATGTCACTTCAGAGTAAAGTCTTTGTTGATCTCCACCTCCTGCAGGATCAAACCTTATTCCTGGTATCCAAGGTCATTTCCCAGTTGGCACAGCCTACCCTCCCTCACTCATTAGTTGTAAAACCTGGAGCTGGTCACTTGACTTTCCCAAGCCTCAGCTTCCTCAC